>NC_000001.11:231335636-231487151 GCF_000001405.40 Homo sapiens | reverse complement strand
AAGGAGAAAACTTAAATATGAACCAATGCCACTTCTGTGTTCATGGATAACATATCCTTGTTTACCAATTGCATATGGGCTAATTAGCCTTGCAGAAACAGATATGTAGCATTGAGACTGTATTTGTATTCCCATTTTGCAGATCCCAAACTAAGGCTTAGAGGGGATGAGAAACTTTACCCAAGCCATATTGTTGCTAAGCAGCCAAGGTGGTTGTGGAAGAGATGACAATGTTCACCGTAGACTCATGCTTGCTTCCGTAGTGTGGAGCTATTGCTGAGAAGGGGTTCGCTCTCCAGAAACTGCATAAGCCAGGCTCCTTTGCATCTCAGGGAAGCCCTGTGACTAAGTTCTGTCTAATAGCATACAAAGAAGTGATGCACACCTCGGCTAGAACTGGCCCACAAAAATACCTTCACGATTTCCCAGGTGTTCTCTCTCTTGTAATCTACTAGCTGAATGGAGAGAACACCAAGGACCTAGAGGAGGGTGGGAGCCACAATGTCCTAGGGGTATGAGTCCTTGAATGACCACATGGAAAGCCACCTAACCAAGAACATTATACTCTGAAAATTTGAGATTTTTTTTTTTCTTTTGAGATGGAGTGTCACTCTGTTGCCCAGGCTGGAGTGCAATGGCACGATCTTGGCTCACTGCAACCTCCGCCTCCTGGGTTCAAGCGATTCTCCTCCTGCCTCAGCCTCTCGAGTAGCTGGGATTACAGACATCCGCCACCACGCCTGGCTAATTTTTGTATTTTTAGTAGAGACAGGGTTTCACCATGTTGGCCAGGCTGGTCTTGAACTCCTGACCTCAGGTAATCTGCCATCCCCAGCCTCCTAAAGTGCTGGGATTACAGGCGTGACCCACCACAGCCAGCCTGAGATTTATTTTCAATAGCGCTAACATTAACAAATAAAATACACTGGTGCTGGTCCTTGAAGCTGTGTCAGACTAACTCAAAGAGCCATATTTCCAGCAGCAATCCTATACTGTCTCCAACAATAAAAGCCCAAAGTAAAAATTTATGAAAAAAAAAAAGTGTCTGATTCACTGGGACAATAAGAATGTACAGAATCAGGTTTCACATTTTACTTAATTGTACTCTCCCTGGAAGCCTGAATGTCTGTGTGTCTCCACAACGCATGTGTGCCATTCCATATATCCTGGAAGTGGGAACTCTAAGTCCTTCAGCTTACCTAAGAAATGACTTTGTCCAAGATCCTCCTGTTCACATTTGATCCTATGGTCACAGGCTCAAGCCTAACTCCTAGACTCCAGTTTCACAGCATCAGCCCCGAACATCCTGGGCAGGAACTCACTAGGGAGGATGCTCTGAGAACCTCAAGCTGTCTCTCCCATGTCACTCAACCCCTCCCAGCAGCCACCTAGGTAATAACTGGTTGGCAATTCTTATTTAATCACATTTCTTAAGCCACCCTCCTGAGCCAGTCTCTGAAAACCTGCCCTTTCAGATGCCATAACATGGATTGTTTTATTACAAAAGTAAGCCTGTTCGATGCATTTTACCCAGTCAGCTGTGGTTAAGAGGTTTAACTTTTGTAGATGCCTTGAATCATTAAAAACGACATCATCTCAGGCTTTGAGCCAAAGTACCGTAAAACCCAAATCTTCATAATGAGAATTACTATAACATTGTCGGCAGATCAAACTTCTCTATAGTTTGCTTGTTCATAAAGCTGCATTAGCTCTTTAGCAAGCAAGACACGTACATCCCTATTCTCCAGTGAAATAATAACAACACATATCTCATAAGGCTCAGTACAAAAATAAAAATAATGGCAATAATTGTTAACAGTTATTGAGTGCTCTCAATAATAACATTTCAAGAATTAGAAGCCACAAAGAGTAGTGGGAAAGGTCCCAACCATGAGTCAAACCTTCTGCAATCTAATCTCTATTTTACTTTAAACAGCAATGTGACCTTGGGCAAATCACGTAAGCTTCAAATTCCACATCTGTAAAATGAGAATATATAAGCTGCCTTTAATATAAGGTTGCTGTGGAAGATCAAATGAGAGATTCTGGTAAGTTGTAAAGCATACCATTTTGGCCTGGGGCCTACACAGAGGTAATCTTTTGATGGTTGTGCCCTTTGTTGTTCATGGCACGTTACGGATTAGAAAATATTTGACTAAACAAATAAAATAATTTCTGAACAGTTTTGAAAGTTGACAACTTCCATGCTCTTTTTGAAATGCCTGATTTTTCTTTTGCTGTGATAGCATAGCATAGTCAGGACCAGCTATATAATTTGCAGAACCCAGTGCAAAATGGAAATGCAGAGCCCTGTGTTCAAAAAATATTCAAAAGCTTAAGATGGCAGCAGCCACAAAGCATTAAGCTAAGTGCAGAGCCCTTCTAAGCATAGAGCCCTGTGTGACTGTACAGGTCACATGCCTGTGGGTCTGACCCTGAGCATAGGTAAGCAAACAGGTTTGGGAGCTAAATCACTTGGGTTCAAATCCCAGGTCTCCCACTTATTACTTCTGCAAGTTACTTAACCATTGTCTGCCTCAGTTTCCACATCTGCTAAAAGAGGGTAATTAGAGTACTCTTCTCAAAAGATTAGTGTGAGGTTGAAAAACTATTTTCATAAAATGCTTAAAATTGCCACATGGAGAGCACTCAATAACTGCTAACAATTATTGCCATTATATTTACTTTTGTACTGAGCCTTATACATGTTATTATTATTTCACTGGAGAATAGGGATGTATGTGTCCTGCTCACTAATATGCTCCAGGGCCTAGTACAGAAGCTGGTGCTTTGATTGTATTAAACCACTGAAAATTTGAGGTTGATCTGCAATAGCAACTCACATTGCTTTATTACACTGGTACTGGTACTTGAATCTGTGTCAGGTGGACTTAAAAGTTCATTCCGTAATTCATATACTATCCCCTTTCCAGCATTAAAAATCTAAAGTGGAAGGTTATGGAAAAAAGTGTATCAGTGTCACTTGGGCAAAAAGATTATGTATAGCAACAAGTTTCATATTTAACTTAACTGTACTCTCCCTGGAAGACTTGAACTGTGTGTATACATGCATGTCTGCCTTTCTCTGTTTCCTGGGATTAGGAGCTCTAAATGCTAAGAAAAGAAAAAGTGGCTTCACTCAAGACACTCCTGTACACAGTAAACATCTCCCCACCCTCAATTCTGTTAAGTAAATGAATGAATAAGTAAATGAATTATCATTTTACTCATGAGGAAAATAAGGTTTAGAAGGGTTTAATAACTTGCTTAAATTGACATAACTAATAAGTGGTCAAGCCAAGATTTCTAAAAATTTGTAATCTTTTACTCTTTTACTGCTTTCCAAACATATTCTCTCCCATCAGTTGCTTCTTCAACAGGCAGAGTCTTTGTTGAACTATAGCAAAAGTATAATTCAGGGCATGGAGGTAAGTCCAGTTTCTAGCCTTTTTCTTCCCCACCCAACCACACTTAGCTCCATCTGATTATCATCAGATATGGAACTTAGACATTCATTTTGGAACATGATTCAAAAAAATAAAAAAACACCGTGTATTGCTTGCTCTGGTTTGGAGAACTCAATTGTTGGAGTAAGTCAGTCTGACTGCCTGATGCAAATAATGGTTTTAAAGTAATCACTTTAATAATGAATAAAATCATAGTTTTGGAAAGAGGTGACACAATGTGTACAAGTCACCATCCCAGTGGAATTTTCCACAAGGAAAAGATCTATTTACACTTTATTTACTTAATGCATGTTCTGGAAACTTCTCTGACCCTGTAACAAAGATGGCAGTTCTCACAGCTTTGGTCATCATGTTATCAGTCTAACATAATGATAGCTACACCATATTTAGAGAATTGGAATTCTGCTGTGATGCTTCTCAGTAATTTTATAAGCAGAGAAAATATGCAAATATCTAGTATGATAAAATTTGACAGTATAATAAAATTTGTTGGCCAGGCTCAGTGGCTCGAACTTGTAATCTCAACACTTTGGGAGGCCTAAGTGGGGGATCTCTTGAACCCAGGAGTTTGAGATGAGCCTGGGCAGGATAGTGAAAATATATAAAGATAAAGTAATAAAATTTGTCCTAAATTTAATCCTGTGTAGTATTACTTTTTTTTTTTTTTTTTTTTTTTAGATGGAGCCTTGCTCTGTCACCCAGGCTGGAGTGCAATGGCGCAATCTCGCCTCACTGCAACCTCCACCTCCCAGTTTCAAGCAATTCTCCAGTCTCAGCCTCTGACTAACTGGGATTGCAGGTACGTGCCACCATGCTTGGCTAATTTTTTGTTTTTTAATAGTAACAGGGTTTCACCATGTTGGCCAGGCTGGTCTCAAACTCCTGATCTCAAGTGATCCACCCGCCTCGGCCTCCCAAAGTTCTGGGATTACAGGTGTGAGCCACCGCACACAGCCCCTGTGGGATTACTTCTAATGGAAAATCTGACAGTGTTAGCCATCAGCAAGCCAATAGATTCTGATGGAATTGTAGGTGGGGAAATGATCTGATATTAGAGAATGGATGTTGTTAATAGCTTTACCCATCAAAACAATGTTGATGCATCTATTTTGGCAACAAAGTGAATCTATCTTATTATATCATGTGACAGCAAGGGATTGACAGTACTCACCACCACCTTCAGAAAGTTTTAGAGATAGATTCAGAATATTAGATTTCTGTTAACTACTTAAATAGCTGTGAAATCATACCTGCTTGGAAAACATAGTAAAGATAAGGTAAACTTTACTCTGAAGGGTTTTTTTCTTTTAAAATACACAGAAAATATTTTATAATTTATCTTCTATGAAGACATCATATATTTTATTGGTGAGAAAAGAATCATAGATGGTCATTTGTGATATGTCCAATGTTATTGTCAAATTAGTTCTGAAGAAAAGGTAGAGAAGAACCCAATATTCTTTTTTGGTTGTTTGATTTGCAATCCATAGACCACACTGATCTATGAGATAGTATTAAGCAATTAAAAGAATATATGACTTTTCTACATCAAAATTTGAAACTTCTGTGCATCAAAGGACACAATCAACAGAGTGAAGAGGAAACTTACAGAATGGGAGAAAATATTTGTAAATCATGTATCTCATAAGGATTAATATCCAGGCTATGTAAAGAACTACATCTCAACAACAAAAACACAAACAGCTTGATTAAAAAATGGGCAAAGGACTTGAACCAACATTTATTTAAAGAAGATATATAAATGACAGTAAGTACATGAAAAGATATTATCACTAATCATTAGGGAAATGCAAATCAAAACCACAATGAGATACCACTTCACACCCATTAGGATGGCTACTATCTACCACCAACCCCCCCAGCCAAAAAAAAAAAAAAACCCAGAAAATAACAAGGGTAGGCAAGGTTATGGAAAAAATGGAACCCTTGTGTACTGTTGATGGGAATGTAAATGGTATAACCAATAGCAAAGGCATGGAATCAACCCAGGTGCTCATTAACATGGGTTGGATAAAGAAAATGTACACATACACTGTGGAATACTATGTAGCCAGAAAAAAAACCAAAATAATGTCTTCTGCAGCAACATAGATGCAACTGGAGGCCATTATCCTAAGCAAACTAACACAGAAACAGAAAACCAAATATCACGTGTTCTCACTTATAAATAGAAGCTAAACATTGGGTAAACACAGACATACAGATGGGAACAATAGATACTGGAGACTACTAGAGGGAGGAGGATAAGGACTGAAAAACTACTTACTGGGTACTATGCCTACTGGGTGATAGGTTCTATTGTATCCGAAACCTCAGCAGCACTCAATATACCTTTGTAACAAACATGCACATGTACTTCCTGAGTCTAAAAGTTGGAAAAATAAAATTAAAAATTAAAAGTAAAAGGGTGTAGCCACTGTAGCAAACACTATGGCAGTTCCACAAAAAATTAAAAATGTAGTATATGATTTAACAATTTTACTTCTGAGTATATACCCAAAGGGACTGAAAGCAGAGTCCCAAACAGATATTTGTACATCATGTTTATAGCAGCATTATTCACAATAGCCAAGGTGGAAGCAACCCACATATTCAACAAATGAATGTGTGAACAAAATGTGGTATATACATACAATAGAATATTATTCAGTCTTAAAAAGGAAGGACCAGGCACTGTGGCTCACACCTATAATCCCTTTGAGAGACCGAGGTGGGCAGATCACGAGGTTAGGAGATTGAGACCATCCTGGCTAACACGGTGAAACCCCGTCTCTACTAAAAATACAAAAAAATTAACCGGGTGTTGCATCGGGTGCCTGTAGTCCCAGTTATTTGGGAGGCTGAGGCCGGAGAATCGCTTGAACCCGGGAGGCAGAGATTGCAGTGAGCCGAGATCGAGCCACTGCACTCCAGCCTGGTGACAGAGTGAGACTGCATCTAAAAAAGTTTAAAAAAATTAAAAAAAAATTAATTCTTACACATGCTACAACATGGATAAACCTTGAGGACGTCATGCTACCTGAAGCAGGCCAGTCATAAAAGGGCAAATATTGTATGTTTCCCTTTATATAAGGTACCTCCAGTAGGATGGGAGCTAGAGGGAGAAGGGAATGGAGGTGAATGAGTACAGAATTTCAGTTTTGCTTAATGTAAAGAGTTCAGGCTGTAGTGCAGTGGCACAATTATGGCTCACTGCAGCCTCAGCCTCCTGGGCTCAAGTTATCTTCCTGCCTTAGCCTCCCAAGTGGCTGGAGTTACAGGGGTGCACCGCCACACCCAGCTATTTTTTTCTTCTTTTAGAGATGGGATCTCACCATGTTACCCAGGCTGGTCTCAAACTCCTGGTATATATATAAAATGGTATAACCAATAGCAAAGGCATGGAATCAACCCAGGTGCCCATTAACAGTGGATTGGATAAAGAAAATGTGGTACATATACACTGTGGAATACTATGCAGCCAGAAAAAAGAACAAAATCACGTCTTCTTTTAAGTGATCCTAAGTGATCCTCCCACCTTGGCCTCCCAAAGTGCTAGGATTACAGATGCAAGACCACACCCAGCCCAAGTGTTAGATTTGAGGTATAATTCAGAAGTAAAGTTGGGAGAATATACTTCTAGATCAAGTGCAATGAGTAATAGGTTATTAACCTAAACAACTAGAAAAATAGAGTTGCATTTTACAATACGGGAAAGAAAGGAGAGGGACAAGTTTGAGAGAGGTAGAATGAATTTTATTTGAACGTGCTAAATTTGAAGTGCCTGCCAGGTTTCTAAATGGAAATGTAGAGTTGCACATTGAATATGGGAGACTGAAGTTCTCTGGAGAGATCCCAGCTAAAGACACAATTGTGGGAGGTGGCATTATATAGATGTCATTTAAAGCCATGGAACTAGGAAGAGATCATTTAGGCAATAAGGGTTAGTAAAGAACAGAAGAGGCAGGCAGGCTGGCTGCTTGCTGCTGGGTGAGAAGGCAATTTTCTATTATAGACACAGATTTCTACAACGCCCAGATCAGAAATATACTTGTAAATTTTGTGAATGTTGTAAATATACCAAGGATCATTGAGTTGAATTTGTTAACAAATCTGTCATGCCAGTTGATTTATTTCTATAATTATAACATTTAAGTGAAGATTAGAAAAACTAATTGATATAAATTTAAAATTAAGACCTGTTTCTTTGAAAACAAATTTGAAAGTGTTACATATACTCAAGAATGGCAAATTGCTAAAAAAAAAAATCTGTAAAATTAAGTTTGAATATGACAGTAGGACAACAATAAGAGGTTAGGAAAAAATGAAAATATGAATAAATTCTGCATGCAAAATGCTTTGCTTCACAGTGTCTTTTATTTCTTGTTGTAGTTTAAAGAACTTAAACTGGAAATAAAAAATGAATTATGAATGCAGTTTTGTACAAGAAAGATGACATAGGACTCTAACCAGTCAGTCTATATTCAAAAGAAAGGCCTTGGCCTTACGTCAATATCTGAAATGTTGGTATATCCACTGCTTTTCTGGCATGAAAAGAAAGCCAATAGCAAACTGTTGAGGATTGTCACCCACGCCCCCTTCCTACTTGCCTTAATTTGCAAGATAGTGAAGAGCAAAATTCAGGACAATGTTAACGCTACTTAAAAATCCAGCATCTGGTCCTGTCACATTGGCTCACTCCCGCAATCCCAGGACTTTGGGAGGCCTAGGCGGGCAGATCGCTTGAGCCCAGGAGTTTGCGGCCAGCCTGTCTAACAGGGTGAAAGTCTGTCTCCACCAAAAAAAAAAAAAAAAAATTCAAAAATTAGCCAGTCATGGCGGTATGCGCCTATGGGAGGCTGAGGCAGAAGAATCACTTGAACTCGGGAGGTGGAGGTTGCAGTGAGCCGAGATGTGCCATTGCACTCCAGCCTGAATGACAGAGCAAAAGAGCAAGACGCTGCCTCAAAAAAAAAAGAAAATAAAAGAAAAGAAAAAAATCCAGCATCTTGTTAGAGGAGAGGAGACCTGGGAATATACAGGTGGAAAAAGTCAGATAGAAAGTGTCTCCTCTGAGGAGCCAGGCTGCCTAACACAGTGATATGCCCGGGCTGCCCTCAGGAATTTGTGAGCTATGGGCAGGGTTAAATGCCTGCATTTGAACATTCAGAAAAAGACCAATCAAAGCAAATGTGTGCTTTGTCATTTGCAAGTGGATTTATATCATTTACTTTGGTTTGTCTTTGAATCAATTTTTTAAATACAGGCTAATCAGAGGGAATTTATATTTATAATTTTAATTAGCCTGAATCTCAGCAAATCTACAATTTCAAAAATGCAGAATACCATGTTTTGTCATCTAATATAAACAGGTTTCTCCGAAGAACCTCATTGGAAATCCCCAAGATGTTAATTTACACTCGTGATTTTACTATAAAACCCTACTATCACCTACTGAGGGCTATTTGGGGAACCACATTTGGCAAAGCTCCAAGAACACTAACAAACATTCGCAAAATTCCCTCATGTTTCTTTTGTTATTATAATTATTTATTGTGAGAAGACACACGTAATACAAAATATACCATTTTAACTTTTTGTTTTTTTGAGACGGAGTCTCGCTGTCACCAGCCTCCTGGCTTCAAGCAATTCTCCTGCCTCAGCCTCCCGAGTAGCTGGGATTACAGGCGCCTGCCACCATGCCCAGGTAATTTTTGTATTTTTAGTAAAGACAGGGTTTCACCATGTTGGCCAGGCTGGTCTCAAAACTCCTGACTTCAGGTGATCCGCCTGCCTCGGCCTCCCAAAGTGCTGGGATTATAGGCATGAGCCACCGCGCCCAGCCTGTTTTAACGATTTTTAAGTGTACAGTTCAGGGGTGTTAAGTATATTCACATTGTTGTGTAATCCATCTCTGGAACTTTTGTATACTCTTTAAACAATTCCATATTTTCCCCTCTCCCCAGTCCCTGGCAATCACCATTCTACTTTCTGTCTGTAGGAATTTGACTACTCTAATATATATATATATATATATATATATGTACAATTTTGTAGAGATGAAGTTTTGCCATGTTGCCCGGGCCAGTCTTGAACTCCTGGACTCAAGCAATCCACCCACCTTGGCCTCCCAAAGTGCTGGGATTACAGGCGTGAGCTACCATGCCCGGCCTCTATCTCATATAAGTGGAATTATGCAGCATTTATCCTTTTGTGGCTGTCGTATTTCACTTAGCATTCATGTAGTAGCATGTGACAAGATTTCCTTCCTTTGTAAGGCTGAATAATATTCTCTGGCATGTATATACCACATTTTGTTTACCCATTCATCCATTGACGGACACTTGGGTTTCTTCCACCTTATCTGTGTTATGAATAAAGCTGCTATGAACATGAGTGTACAAATATCTCTTCAAGACCCTGCTTATTTTGGGTATACATGTTACCATAATTTGTATATAAGTTTTATAATTTTAAAACTCTTCTCATTATTATCTTCTATATTAATTTGTACAATTCGAATGATGGAGCTGTAAGGGAGCATACAGATAATCTGGCCCAACTCTCTCATTTTTTCAGATGAAGAAATTCACACCCAGCAGGCTTTAGTGGATATGGTCTCACAATTAGTTTGTGGCAGGATTGAGACTAGAACCCAAGCCTCTAAACTAATCCAGAGTTTTCTAGAATACAGGCCTTCCCTGTGGCCACCTGATATTAATATTCACCCTCACTTCTGCTTGAATCTAAAAGGCAATCAATCTTGTATTCTCCCACCTACCATCTTACTTGACAAAGTAAGTCCATATTTTGAAAAACTGGATGAAGTTTTAGTGTCTGTGCCTAAATGAATAACTTTTAGCTCTGCAAGATAATTAACTGGCAACTAGCAATGTGTAGGTACGTGCCTCCTAAAACTGGCTTTAGCATCAAAACCAAGACTCCCCAAATAAGATATGCTATAACAAAGTTTTTTGACTGTTGTTATTTGTCATGGCAAATGCTCACAGAGGAATAATTAAATTCTAAACTCACACTAGGTGCCAGGCAGAGGTATACCGGAGCTGGCTCATACCAGCCTGCAAGAGGTGATTGCGCCCATCTCTTCCCAATTCCAAGTTCAGTGACATCACATGGGTAGCTTGAAAGAATGTTAGGAGAATTTACACCATGGAAACTGGCAAACGCTGCAAACACTGCCTCCCACCATCACAGACAGCCAGTTATTAAGCATTTATCAGCACATTATGTTGCCAGGGACTGTGCTCAGAGTTATTGGGGGGAGAGGCAGTAGCAGTGTTATGTAGTCAAGCTTATAACTGATAAACTGTAGTCATTTGGAAAAACAGAAGCAACGCAGAGGAGATGGGAGTGAACCAAGAACATAGTAACCACCCTGAACCTCCTCAACAAACCCCAGAGGGACATGTCCCCAGAGGAGATGCAGAAGCACGGGGAGGAGGGTCCACTCTGTGCTCCGCAGTCAGTCAAGAACAACACTGAAGTGCTCACCAACTACTGACAACAACAAGCTGCTGGGCTGCGAAGGCCTTGAGTAGACACTGCAACATGGTGCTGGAGAATGTGAAGGAGATGTGTACTGAGGTCCCCAAGGGGGGCAACGGTGGCAAGGGCAAGAAGAAGTCCAAGCCAGCCAACAAAGACCACTTCATCTCCAAGCTCTTCCTGTGCAGGGACTCAGTCATCACCAACAAGTGGGGGCCACCTCCCCATTGACAGAACTCACTCCCTCATCCTATGAAGACCTACCCTTTGTTATGGGGATAATAAAGCCCTGTGCTTTTTTTTTTCTAGTAGTAAAAACAAAACATAACAACAACAATAAAACTTTAGTCATTTGGTCATATTAGGGAAGTCATTTATTATTCTGTTTCTTCAGAAATAAAAAACAGATAACAAAAATATTATCTATTTCTAGGGATGTTGTATTTAACTATTAATAACTTGTTAAGCAAGTATCCAAAAAGAGACCTAATCTATATATTATACTTACCTGGTTTGTCATATCCAATTTGCATGAAATATAAGACTCTTCAAAAAAGAAGGAGCCAATGTGTGTGGCATATGGAGATTAGGAAACTTACTCTGAGGAGAAAAGAATTTACATACCTGGGGCACAGACTGATTACTGAGGGGAGGGATATTTTGAGGTATGATTTTGCCAACCCACTTAAGTACCTTTCTGTAAAGCCCCAGATAAATTATAAGGAATTTTAAGAATATGGCTTTTGGCCGGGCACAGTGGCTCATGCCTGTAATCCCAGCACTTTGGGAGGTCGAGGAGGGCTGATCACGAGGTCAGGAGATCGAGACCATCCTGGCTAACATGGTGAAACCCCGTCTCTACTAAAAATACAAAAAATTAGCCAGGTGTGGTGGCACACGCCTATAGTCCCAGTTACTCAGGAGGCTGAGGCAGGAGAATTGCTTGAACTGGGAGACGGAGGTTGCAGTGGGCCAAGATCATACCACTGCACCCAGCCTGGGCGACAGAATGAGACTCCGTCTCAAAAAAAAAAAAAAAAGAACGTGGCTTTTTCAGAGTCTAATAAAGTCATTATAATCCAGGTGAAGAAGAGATCCCAGTGGAAATTGTGGTAGGAGTCACAAGGTCATCTCAGTGGGCAGACTAAGGTAAGTCTCTGAGATGGAAGAAGGAACAAGAAATTGAGCACTTCTTGGGGGGTAAAACACCAAGAAAACTCAAATGTAGACAATTAGAACTTGCAAGTTACCTGGGCCAACCCAGATAAGAAAAGACAGTTTCTAGACTGGTTGCTGGATCCCAGTGACCCTGCTGGATATGGAATCCGACCCAAACATTATATTATCAGTGAAGTTATTACCTACACCCTATGTTTCCCCCAAGAGGGATGGTTTAGGAAACAAAGGCTTATAATGATTAAAAGAGTCAGAAAATGACAGTCTTCTCACCAGATATGCCACATTTGATGTCCACACATGCAAAAACGTAAGTGTTCTTTCTCCTTACTCTTAAGTCCTGTTGATTATCTTTTGCAACATCTCTTACAGTGCCAGGAATATAGTTGCCCCTACCTACTGATTATTTAACAAATAAATCAATGAATCCCTTTGATATGGTTTGAATCTGTGTCCCTGCCCAAATCTCATGTTGAATTATTATCCCCAATGTGGGAGGTAAGGCCCTTTGGGAGGTGATTTGATCATGGAGGCGGATTCGCAAGAATCGTTTAGCACCATTCCCTTGATGCTGTCCTTGCAATAGTGAGTGAATTTTTAGGAGATCTTGTTGTTTAAAAGTGTGTAGCACTTCCCCCACCCCCGGCTCCTGCTTCAGTCATGTAAGACTCCTCACTCCCCTTTTGCCTTCTGCCATGATTGGGAGTTCTCTGAGGCCTCCCCAGTAGCAGAAGCCACTATACTTCTTGTACAGCCTGCAGAACCATGAGCCAATTAAACCTCTTTTCTTTATAAATTACCCAGTCTCAGGTATTTCTTAATAGCAACGTGAGAATGAACTAATACACCCTTCTTTCCATTTCCACCACCAATACCCAAAGTCAAGAATAAATGAACATATATTTAGTACCTGTGATGTCCAGTTAAGAGCCAAAAAGACAGCAATAGGGTTCCTCTCTTCAAGGAATTTAAGGTCAATAAAAGGAACTGAACATACCATAGCAATAGCCTTGTAACTGGTTTCTACTTCTTCCATCTCTCGCTACTCTAACCCATGCCGTTTGTGCTAGTAGTTTCACTGTCCTGAAATACGCCTTTGATCGCATTACCCAGCCAATTGTCTCTATAATGCTTTGATGTTGGTAATAGATAGTCCAAACTCCTCAGGCTAGCTTTGAAGTCACTGGTCCAGGAAAATTCCCATTGAAGCTCCTTAGTATTGCCCACAACTCATGATGTCCCTTTTCTATCTCAACTAATTGTACCATTGTTCATTAAACACACCCTGTACTTCTATCCCTTGAAAATATACCTTTCCCCTACAAATGACCCCCCCATTCATTTTTCATATCCAAATCCTTTCTGCCTTTTAAAATCCTGTTCACATTCAACCTTATTCAGAAAATCTTGTCTCTACCTCATAAGTGAGTCTCATTTATTTATTCAACAACATATGTTAATTGAGTCTTTACTGGTTGCAAAGGAGCAAAGGACTATATTCAGTGCTAAAGATGCATGCATTCCCTTCTTGGGACTTTTATTATCTTCTTTATCCATAGCATTCCTTTAACAATAATTGTCTGCTTCCCTATAGCATCAGTTTTACTGTTTTAAGAGAGAAATTGAGTCTTTCTTATTAGATCCTGTACAGTATCTTACATGTAATATATTCTTAAATTATTATTGGCTTGATGTGAAATAGAAATTCTGGTCCTGTTTAATCTTGTCTTCACCCAACGAATGTCTGTAAACTCATGAAGAGCCTAATGAAATGATTGAAACTTCCCAAAAGTTAAAGAATGTTACTTATTTCTACAATTCAAGGAAATTTATTTGTAATGTCTATGGAAAGAATTGATATCTGCTCTTTTCCCAAAGTGAACAATCCATTCTTTAGTGTGAAAAAGTCTACCCTTGTCTTCACAGTGGCCAGCATAAAGTGCTTAAAGCACTGGATTTTAGCACCTACTATCATTATTACATGTTGCCTTGTGGCTTGTGAGCCCTGTATTCTAAAAGTCATGTTTAAAAAAGAGTGTGGTTTATTTATTTTCATAGTTTAGTTATTTGCTTAGAAGATGAATATATTATAAAACTTTTAAAGTGTAAGTATACATGTGTAGTGGGTCTGTAAATTTCATTCACACTACAACTCACATATGCAAAGAAAATGTTTAATTTTCTCTGTAACTGATTTGATCTTCTTCACTAGCCTCTATTGCCTGGGTAGTGTGACATAAACCTTAAGTTTTTGCCTAATGCTGTTGTTAACTGATACAATAACTTAAATAGTAAATGTTCATTTTTATAGATAAAAATAATCAGTATCAGATTTCCTCTCTATCCTTTCCTTGCTTCTCTCCAAGACAGGAAAATGTGTGGCTGGCTGTGGCCTTGTGGCCACAAAGGAAAACTTCCTCAGAAACTACAGTGTCCTTGTACTCTTTCCTCTGACTTCCACAATAACGACCACATCCTCCAGGGTACAGCTTGCCTTTACAGCATCCTGGGGTCTGCAGTCAGTGTAATTTGTAGCTGGGTATCTCTCAGCTGGGTCAGAGGCTAGTAGAGCTCCCTGCATAATTTGGCCTCACTAATATTGAAGATTCTTCTGCATTTTTATTCTGTGTTCCTTTATATTCTGGCCCAGGTGGCCGCTTCTCAGCTGTTATAACTGCTTTTTACATATTAGGCCCCTGTTTCAGGACCACCAGTTCTCAACTCAGCTACTTGCCATGTCCTCTCTTAGGGGCTTGTAGGAACTTCTCAGTCCTTCCCAAGGCATCCAGAAACAAAGAGTAGCTTAAAAAGTTTAAAAACTGCCTTTTATCTGTCTCTAAACTGATCCACCAATTTTAATCTGCTGTGGCCTTGACCAGCTTAGGTGGAAGAAGGGATATTAGAACCCATTATCTCCCTACCTTCTCCTTTCCTTTTTTCCACAATACCCAAGACGGAAAGGCCACTTCTACTTTCCCCTTTCTTTTTTTTATTATTTTTATTTTTATTTTTTATTTATTTATTTATTTTTTTTTTTATTATTATACTTTAAGTTTTAGGGTACATGTGCACAATGTGCAGGTTAGTTACATATGTATACATGTGACATGCTGGTGCGCTGCACCCACTAACTCGTCATCTAGCATTAGGTATATCTCCCAATGCTATCCCTCCCCCCTCCCCCCACCCCACAACAGTCCCCAGAGTGTGATGTTCCCCTTCCTCTGTCCACGTGTTCTCATTGTTCAATTCCCACCTATGAGTGAGAATATGCGGTGTTTGGTTTTTTGTTCTTGCGATAGTTTACTGAGAATGATGATTCACTGGCCATCAGAGAAATGCAAATCAAAACCACAATGAGATACCATCTCACACCAGTTAGAATGGCAATCATTAAAAAGTCAGGAAACAACAGGTGCTGGAGAGGATGTGGAGAAATAGGAACACTTTTACACTGTTGGTGGGACTGTAAACTAGTTCAACCATTGTGGAAGTCAGTGTGGCGATTCCTCAGGGATCTAGAACTAGAAATACGATTTGACCCAGCCATCCCATTACTGGGTATATACCCAAAGGACTATAAATCATGCTGCTATAAAGACACATGCACACGTATGTTTATTGTGGCACTATTCACAATAGCAAAGACTTGGAACCAACCCAAATGTCCATCAATGATAGACTGGATTAAGAAAATGTGGCACATATACACCATGGAATACTATGCAGCCATAAAAAATGATGAGTTCATGTCCTTTGTAGGGACATGGATGAAATTGGAAATCATCATTCTACTTTCCCCTTTCTAAGACTCTATGGTGTCTTTTTCTGAGCCCTAGATCTAGATACGCCAAGGGGGAGATGAAAGCATTTGAAAAATCCTCTATCTTGATAAAGCCTGTCCTGCAAGATTATTGCCTTTGTGTAAAATATCATCTTAAATGTCACAAGCCGAATATTAACTCTCTGTTTTCCTTTTGCATTCCTCTGTAACGGTTCTAATTGCCATTCCCTAACTTCATGTCTTGAGCTGACTAAGGAGAAGTTCACGAAGGCAGAAAAGTAAGAGAAAGCATATTAATATGTTCCAAGGTATTATTCCTATTAATGGTGGTATTGATATTGTAAGTTAAAATAGTATAAGTAATATTATAAATATTTTATTGTAAATAAAATACTGGTAAGATAGAGTCCTAACTCTGGGGTGGATGACATAAATGGCAGAAAACATTTTATTTACTAATCTGCACATATTGCAGGGTTTCACGTGAGGGAATGCAACCTGGCTAAATACTACTCTGAAAAGTTGAGAGATAAAACGGTGAATCCTGAAAGTCCCACTGGTGTTATCCTAGATCAGTTATTTTTAATAGTCCAAAATATGGCTATTATTAGGAATAAATAAGTCCAAAAAGGGCAAAATAAGATACTACAGAACTTAGTAAAAAAAAAGTCCATTGCTCATGCCTGTAATTCCAGCACTTTGGAAGGCCAAGGCAGGCAGATCACGAGGTCAGGAGATCGAGACCATCCTGGCTAACATGGTGAAACCCCATCTCTACTAAAAATACAAAAAATTAGCCGGGTGTGGTGTCATGTGCCTATAGTCCCAGCTACTCAGGAGGCTGAGGCAGGAGAATTACTTGAACCTGGCAGGCAGAGATTGCAGTGAGCCGAGATGGTGCCATTGCACTCCAGCCTAGGTGACAGAGCAAGGCTCTGTCTCAAAAGAAAAAAAAAATTAATTTACAATGTGTAATTCATTTTCACTTTCTTGTAAGTTGATTTTCATTTTGTGGATGATCTGAGTCAAGCCAGTGCCCTTTTCCTGATTACGCCTTTCTCATCATCCAGGCTATTATTATCCGTGCTCTCCTATCTCTGGGTTATGGTTTCTAACCTTAGAATATTGAAAGTAAGACAAAGTCAAGTCTATGGTTTTAGTGAGACACAAAGAAAAACTAGTTTGTATGATAGAGAAAGGGAGTAGGGAAGATGTCTGCCAACATTTCAAAATTAGATATCAACTATGTAATATTGTTTCCTTAATTTTTCAAAATAGATACCAACCATTTAATATTGGTTCATTAATTTATCCATTCTTTATTCAACAAACATTTTTAAACATCTGTCATTTTACTAAGCACAGTGCTAGGTCCTAGGCAAACACAGATGAATAAAAAGCAAAGAACTCACAGTCTAGTGGGAAAGGCCAATTTATAAACTAAGTTTATGAATAAAATAACTAATACTAAAACTAATATATTACTAATATTAAGATTATTCTGGTGATATGCATGATGGCTAGGCATGTTGAAATGTACATTTATTATTTTCAAACATGTGAGGTCATTGATCTATTAAGATACCTGCAAGGGCTCACAATCTATTTAAATGCATCAGCTCCATGGCAAGGATTCTTCACCATATTACGATCATGGACTTCTTTGATAATTGGTAAATGTTATGGAGTCTCTCCCAAGAAAAATAAAAATATGCTCATTTATGTGTGGCCTTTTAGGGAATTTATGGACCCTCTGAAATCCATACATGAGTCCCTGATTACATTTCATGTTCTATTATTTTTACTCCTAGAAAACACGTTTTTAATAGACTTTTGCAAATGGAGCATCTGTTTTATTTGTCCACTACTCATCCTCCTCCAGAAGCAGGAAGGGAGGACGCTTAGTGGACAAATAAAACAGATGCCTTATATAATGCTTTATACTTTAAAAGCATGCATATAAAATTGATAAAATCCACAGTGTGCTTTTTTAGCATCATTATGAATATTTTTGTTCAGAGAAGCTTTGATAAACTGTATTAAAAAGCACTTACTTCCTGCCACCTCAAGGTATGTTACTGAATTTTAACAAGAATTCAGTTCTCATTATGCACTGTCATGCATGAGTAGGGATTTAAAATTTTTTTTGATTGTCTATAGAAATATTGGAAACCAACTAAATTCTAATAGAAGAATGATTAACCTATTCAATGAAATATTTGGCAACCATTAAAAATGACTATTAGCAAGAGTTTATAATAACATAGGAAAGTGTTTGTTTTGATGTTAAGTGAAAAAAAAGGAGGCTGCAGACTTCCTTTTCCTGTTAGGATGTAGAAAGTCACAAGAGACCATCGTTCTCATCCTAACACCAAAAGCAAGACAGATAAGCTATAAAATAATATTTTTAAAACTTCCCAGAGAACTGAGGATGCAAATAAACCTAAATAAGCGAAACTTCAGAAGGCAACAAGTGTTCACAGAAGAGAAAGAGTTCATGTCTTCTCTTATTCCTGATGTAATGGCAGGAAAAAGAGGACTCTGCCTTACCTGGTGGACAAAGAGAAGCCAACCAAAACTTTAACAAATATAATAGCCATATGTGGTTGGACATAACAGATCGGAATTCAAAGGATCCCCAGCCACATAGCAAGTGTGTACCCACCCACAAACTCTTTCATTAACTTTTCACAGGATGCTCGAGGATAGCATACATGTGACTGGGCAGGATAGCACGGAGACAGATACCTTTTCAGGTGTGCAAAGCATCTTCTAAGTGCAATGCAGCTGCCCTTGGAATGAGGGAGGCAGAGGAGGAGAGCTCAGAGAAGTCCAACCTAAATACCTGTAGCTTTCAGTTCCAAATGCTTGGGGAGGAGAAAAAGTGCTGACAGAAATCTTGCTCAAGCAATCTAGGTTTTCAGAGAGTGGAAAGAACTGTCCTCCAAAGACTGCAGGACAGTAAAACAGGTATCTCCTGAGGTATAGAAAGCTGGGGGTAGTACTGGAGAGCAAAGAGAACTCCTCAATAACCACAAAAGCTGACAGCCAAGCTGTAAAGGAGAAAATCACCCGTCACTTAAAGAACTGAAAACCATGAGGTCAGGAGATCAAGACCAGCCTGACAAACATGGTGAAACCCTGTTTCTACTAAAAATACAAAAAAATAAGCAGGGGTGGTGGCATGTGCCTGCAATCCCAGCTACTCAGGAGGCTGAGGCAGGAGAATTGCTTGAACCCGGAAGGCGGAGGTTACAGTGAGCTGAGATCGTACCATTGCACTTCAGCCTGGGTGACAGAGTGAGACTCTGTCTCAAAAAACAAACAAACAAACAAACAAAAAACTGATAACCCAGCTGTAAAGTACAAAAAGATCTCTGGAAACTTGCCATTGCTCAGACCTCAAGCCCTGCGGAAAAGAAAATCCTAATTCTACCATCAAAACATTTAGAGACAATAGTGAACTAAAGATATAACAAATCATCTTTTGTTTGACAATGATTATTATCAAACTAAAGATGCAACAAAGCCCTGATTCAGCTCAACTACTGGACAGATTGATCCAGTCCCCAGCTCTAGTGGCCTGACATAAGGAAGGACATTCACTTTTCTAGAGAAAAATATTATTTACTTCATTCTTTACTATTTTTTATACATATCATCCTGTATGCAATCAGAGAGAAGAATGAGAAACCAACTAAATGTCTAACAATGAAAGAATGATCAAATGAAATATTTTGCAATTATTAAAAATGATGATTAGCAAGAGTATATAATAATATGGAAAAGCATTTGTTTTGATGATAAATGGAAAAAGGAAGCTACAGACTTCTTCCTGTTAGGATGCAGAAAGTCAAGAGATTAATAAAAAATCACAAGACACACAGAGGCAAGAAAATGTTTGGGAGGCCAAGGCAGGAAGATTACTTGAGGCCAGGAGTTCAAGACCAGCCTGGGCAACATGGTGAGACTCCATCTCTACAAAAAATTTAAAAATTAGCTGGGCACGGCTGGGTGCGGTGGCTCACGCCTGTAATCCCAGCACTTTGGGAGGCCGAGGCGGGAGGATCACAAGGTCAGGAGATCAAGACCATCCTGGATAACATGGTGAAACCCTGTCTGTACTAAAAATACAAAAAATTAGCCGGGCATGGTGGTGGGCGCCTGTAGTCCCAACTACTCAGGAGGCTGAGGCAGGAGAATGATGTGAACCAGGAGGTGGAGCTTGCAGTGAGCCAAGATCACACCACTGCACTCCAGCCTGGGCGACAGAGTGAAACTCCGTTTCAAAAAAAAAAAAAAAATTAGCTGGGCACGATGGTGCATGCCTACAATCCCAGCTACTGAGGAGGCTGAGGCAGGAGGATCACTTGGGGCTGGGAGGTTGAGGCTGCAGTGAGCCGTGATCATGCCACTGCACTACAGCCTGGGTGACAGACCAAGACCCTGTCTCAAAAAAAATAAAATGAAATAAAATAAATAAAAAACAGGAAAAGAAAAGAAAATGTAACTGATGGAAAAATAAGAAAGAAAACACCCAATAGAAACAGACTCAGGAATGGCCCTGACATTAGAATGTTGGACAATAACTTTAAAATAACTATTTAAAAATGCTAAGCAATCTAGTAGAAAAAGGTGGACAACATGCAAGCAAAGAAGAGAAATTTGGCATAGACATTGAATCTATTTTTTTACAAAGGAACCAAATGGAAAAATTAGAAATAAAAAATATGATATCAGAAGAGAAGAATTTATTAGATGAACTTAAAAGCAAACAGGACACAGCAAGGGAAAAAAGAATCAATGAATTTAAATACAGGAAATAGAAAGTATTCAAGTGAGGAAAATGAAGAGATAATGACTGAGTAGGCTCTAAAAATTAACGAAAGACATCAACTCATAAATCCAAGAAGCTGAGCAAACCCCAAAGAAAAATATCTGGGCACATCATAATCAAAGAGCTGAAAAACAAAGATAAAGAGTAAATTTAAAAAGCAGTTAGAAAGAGAGAGAGAGAGAGAGAGAGAGAGGAAAAGACATACTAAATACAGGTTTGGTTATCTAACACATCATCATTGGGGGCTAGGTAAAGGGTACCTGGGACCTCTGTACCATTTTTGCAACTACTATGTGAATCATTCTTTCTTTTCTATAAGAAATGGCTGGTGTTTGCAGCTAAGTACATTTTTTTCTTTTTTTCAGCTTGTGTCTACTTATAGTAGTTCAAAGATCCAAAGGCCACCTTTCATTTTATAATGTCTCTGTACCTCTTAATCCAAGCTGAGTATGTTTTCAGCAGTGCAATTCTCGAAAAATATGGTAGGTTTCCTAAGAATCTTATTGGGGTTTGATTCATTCAACAAAAGCCACACTCACAAATAAGAATAAAAATAAGCCCTTTCTATGTTGGGCTCCCTGTAAGGTTGCTGTGGGACAACTTAAAGATTTTTAAAAGCCCCATTGTTTAATTCAGAGGATCTTCAAGAAATGCTTTTAAGATTTTAATAGAGACTTTTGTCTACTTGCAAAGGTCTGTGATGTACCCTTCAAATCTTTTCAAGATCTTAAAGAGTTGTACAGTCACACTCTTGCCTTTCTCTCTAGACCGTATTTTCTTGAAAGTGAACTTGATTTGATCTCTGTCTAAAAGCCATTTCTTAATTTTTAACATTGTTTTTCATGTGAAGAGCCTGAAAATAAAAAACAGCATTGTGTTGACACCTAGGAAGTTCTGGATTTTTAATATATTTTCCATTGTAGTAAAGAAACATGTACTATAAAATTTACCCTCCCAACAATTTCCAAGTATAATATTGTCAGCTGGATGCTCTGTGTCATACAAACCTCCCCATCTTGCATGGCTGAGACTCTTTATATGCCAAATAACAACTCCTCACCTCCATCTTCCACCAGCCTCTGGCAACTACCATTCTACTTTCTGTTTCTATAATTTTGACTACTTTAGATACCTCATATAAGTGAGTCATGCAGTATTTTTTGTGACTGATTTCACATATGTCTACTTTGTAACATGACAGAATTTCCTTCCTTTTTAAGACTGAATAATATTCTATTGTATGCATACACTGCATTTTGTTTTACCCATTCATCTGTCAGCGGGCATTTAGGTTGCTTCTACCTCCTGGCTATTGTGAATAATGCTGCAATGAACATGAGTGGACAAATATCTCTTTGAGATCCTGTTTGTAGTTCTTTTGGATATATATCCAGAACTGAAATTGCTGGATTATATAGTACTTCTATTTTTAATTTTGCTGATTGTTAATATATACCAATTATTTATTTTGCTTGTCTCTATCTGTACCTTATGATAAGTAGCTTAAAGAAACTAGGTGACACTTTTGATGTCTGTCTGGAAATCCCCTTAGCTGGATCCATCAGTTCAGTGATACATTATCTATTTTTCATGTTTCCACAGGTAATGACTCTACCAAACTTACCATCACTATATAACAACAATCTCCTTTCATCCAACTTTGTGTAAACCAAAAATAAAATTTTAAGGCCCTCCAACCATCCAAATGGATCCCCCCTCTCAGCCAAGGGCATTCCAATGTTAACCTGAAAACACTAGTTCAGGCCATGATGGGAAGGGGGAGCTGGACACGCCTCATTATACCCTCCTTTCTTTTGGAATTGCTGATGGAACAGACTCTTTAAGTCTGATAAGAAACATTTACATCTATTCTCTCTGAAGCCTGCTACCTGGAAGCTTCATCTGCATGATAAAACCTAGGTCTCCACAGCCTCTTTTTGCAACCCAGACATTTCTTTCTATTGATAATAACTCTTTCACAAATTGCCAATCAGAAAGATTTTAAATCTCTCTATGACCTGGAAGTCCCTGCTTTGAGCTGTCCCACCTTTCCAGACTGAACCAATGTATATTTTACATGTATTGATTGATGTCTCACGTCTCCCTAAAATGTACAAAACCAAGCTGTACTCAGACCACCTTGGACACATGTCATCAGGACATCCTGAGGCTGTGTCACAAGTGTGTCCTTGACTTTGGCAAAATAAACATTTTTTTTGACAGAGATCTGTCTCAGACACTTTTGGGTTCATGTTCCAGGAACATTTGTCTCACTTTTCTTTAAGCCCTTACCAATAGCCCCCTTGAGGGCCATTAGACTTCAGCTAACAGTATTCTCAAGGTGCTTCTAACTTCCTCCCACTGCTTGCTCCCATGTTTTATGTGGCAGCACCCCATTTGCAGTTACCAAAATCTGCTCCAGTCTATATCCTGCATAATTAATCACCCCAAATCTTAATGGCTTAAAAAAAAACCCGGCAATTATCATTTTATTGCTTTTTCTCATGATTGGAGAGCTTTGATTGAACTCAGGTGGTTCTTGCTCAGGATTTCTCACGCAGTCAGACTGGGGCTACAGTTGCCTTGAAACCTTCCTTACTCACATACATGGTTGATGCCGCCTTCCAGCTGGGACCTCACCTGGCCTATTAGCTGTAACACTTACATATGGCCTGAGGTCGTCACTTACTCATGTAACTAAAATTCAACGGCATTCATCTCAAAAGAAAAAGAGTGCTAGATGAAAACAGTATTGCCTTGTAGGACTTTAGCTCAGAAATCTTAAACGTGTTGGGCTGGATTTGGCTCCCAAGTAATTGTTTAAACTTTACCTTGTCTTTATTACCTCTACCTTCATTGGGAATATTTTTATATTTTTCAGTTTTATATGATACCTTATACTTTATAGGATATCTTATACTTTATAGGATACCTTATACTTATACTTACTTCTAACATCTGTATAAATTATAGTCTTTTCAAAATCTTATCCCATTTCTTTACATAATGTTTATACTTGGTTTCAGCATGACAAACAGATATTTCACCATGTTTTGGCTGACTTCTTCAAGCCCATGGATCTTTAACCCAGTCCCTTCTTCAGAGATATTTGTATTTTTGTTTATTGGTTTCTTTAAGTATTTATTCCTAATATTCCATTTTAAAAAAATTTGTTTGTCCTCCAGAATGTCAACAAAACTCCCAGACTTTCAAATATTCTGGAGTCCAAAATTTTCTTAATTGCATTTCTGGGATGGATGTCTTTAAAGAACAGAAATTCTTGTCCAGGGTTATTTCCTACATTATTGGCTAGACTTTCTGGATCAAATTTAACTTTGGCCCTATGGCATGTAGCATGACTTTAATCAGGAAGAATATCGAGGACGAATATGCTTCTTGAACTGTCCGGTAGTCCATTTATCAACACAAGATCTCTTTATTGTAAGCATGATTTCATGGAATTACTTTTAACCCCTGTAGAGGAAGAGTGTTCAGGTTATATTTAAGTTTCTCCAAGTTCGTTAATTTTCTCTATCTGTGAATTTCTTCCAGTCCTCATAACATGCTTAGTAGAATTCTATGGTAGGCTTCTCTGTGATAGGCTGAAGATTTTTGTTTTGTTTTCAATGGAGTACTCATTTTGTTCTCTATTAAAACCCTTCGATTTAATTAATCTCTCCCTCTCTCACTTTCTCTCTTTCTTCCAGGTAGAAAAAAAATAAAAGGAATCCAGACAGAACAAAGAATGAAACTATGGACACAGGCATGAGAGAAATGCACTTATTTGTGGCAGTACTATTGCAGAGATAATGGGAGAGGTGGTAAGAGCTGAGACTGGAAAAGCAGAGTGGAGCCAGTGTGCAGAGGATCCAATATGGCACCCTAAGGAGTCTGACTTCATCCTGCAGTGGTGAATGGGAAATCATCTAAGTTTATTATTATTCGTAAGCACAGGGGCAGTGTACAATTTCTGCGTTGAGAAAGGAGAATTCTGAAATGGTAGTTTTGAATGGTGGATTTAAAGTGGGAGATTGATTTGAGCCTTTAACATTGCAGTTTAAAAACAAACAGAATTTTAAAAAGCAAGTGGGAGATAGATATTGAAAGCAGGAAGACCATTCAGGAGATAGCCACAATAGTCTAGAGAGAGATGGGGAAGGTCAGTTGTATGTCAGACCAAGCAGCATGTTTGAAACACTGAAGAAAAAAGCTCCAGTGATCCACGTATGAGTGGCCTGACCTACGGAGTATCGAGGAGAAGGAGAGGAAGGCAATAGAAAGAACTAGACATGGGTTGAACTCTTGGTAGCCTGACTAGTGCCTGACTGTTCTTCAAGACTCTCTCCTGAATAGATTTGACCTTTTGGACCTTCTAGGGCCCTTTTCATCACTTGTTACCAGCCATTGCTACCTCCTGGAGCCCCCTTTAATCTGGAGCCCCCTTTGATCACTTGTTACCAGCCATTGCTACCACCCTGCACCATTGCAAAGTGGAATGTACGTGACTCTTCTCAAAGCCCCTAGAACTATATACACACATCATTGTAGCACTTCTTATATGACACGTACTGTGATCACTTGTTAGCCTCACATGTTCTGGCCCTTGCCTACTTCTTTGATACCATTTTTTTTATCCCTTTCCTGCATATTGTGTATTTTCCAATCTGTCACTTTAATAAGAAATCTACATGTTTTATGTGGTGTGATGAGCTCAAGGATTATTAGAGCTGAAAGGAATTGTGGGTTTTCAACTATCTACATATATACTGAAGTCTCAGGTGATCATCAGCATTTTCAACAATAAGGCATTTTAAAATTAAGGCATGTACATTCTTAAGGACATAATGCTATTGTGCCTTTAAAAGACTACAATATAGTGTAAATATAACTTTTTTTTTTTTTTTGGTGATGGAGTCTCGT
The DNA here is from genome assembly GCF_000001405.40 of Homo sapiens. Classification (NCBI taxonomy): domain Eukaryota; kingdom Metazoa; phylum Chordata; class Mammalia; order Primates; family Hominidae; genus Homo; species Homo sapiens. The sequence continues at coordinate 231,461,461 of NC_000001.11, read as the reverse complement.
ACTGTCGCCCAGGCTGGAGTGCAGTGGCACCATCTCGGATCACTGCAAGCTCCGCCTCCCGGGTTCATGTCATTCTCCTGCCTCAGCCTCCTGAGTAGCTGGGACTACAGGCGCCTGCCACCACGCCCAGCTAATTTTTTTTATTTTTAGTAGAGATGGGGTTTCACCGTAGCCAGGATGGTCTTGATCTTCTGACCTTGTGATCCGCCCGCCTCGGCCTCCCAAAGTGCTGGGATTACAGGCATGAGCCACTGTGCTTGGCCAAATATAACTTTTATATGCACTGGAAAACAAAAAAAATTGTGTGACTTGCTATATTGTGATATTCACTTTATTGTAGTGGTATGGAACTGAACCTGCAATATCTCTGAGGTATGCCTATATACATATACTCACACTATATAAAAATATTTATGTAAAAAATATATATCTATATAAACACACACATACATATCACCCACCTTGGGAATGTACACAGCTCCATGGTAGGCAAAATGCAAGCATCTCTGCTTTGTGTTAGATATAGCTACAAAAGAAATGGCTGCAGATTAAACATTACATGGTGTACTGAGGCTCTTTAACAAATGACTTGTGATTAACTGTAAGGGAAATCTCAATCACCAACCACAACCACAACCACAGTTCCTTTGCAGCACAAATTGCGGCTACCCTCAAGAAATGACTTGCATTTTAACTCCCTTCCCCTGCCTCTTCTGTTATTCTAACACTTCAAGGAAATTCACAAGTCACGATTGGGTATTCTTTTTATGAGGACTCCCTATCAGCAGACAAACATGTTTTTTCTCCCATCTTCCAAGCAATCCCTGGCTCCACTCCACTACCCCTTCAGTTATTGTCCTATTTCTGTCCTCTTGAGTAAAAATCCTATACTCATTGTCTCCAATTCTCTCCTTTCTGTCTCTCTCTTTTTTAAAAGTTTATTTTATTCTTAATTGACAGAATCTAATTTTATCTATTTGTGGGGTACAATATGACATTTTGATAAGTGTATTTATTGTGGAATGATCAGATCAGGCAAATTTGCATATCCATCACCTCAAATATTTATCCTTTTTTTGTGGTGAGAACATTTAAACTCCTCTCTTGTAGCTGTTTTAAAATGTACAGTACATTATTATTAACTGTAGTCATGCTGTGCAGAACACCACAATGTATTCCTCCTATCTAACTGGATTACGTTATACTGATTTGACCAACGTTTCCCCTTTCCCCATTCATTCCCCCTGCCCCATTTTCTGCAGCTTCTGGTAGCCACCATTCTACTCTGTACTTCCATGAGTTTAGCTTTTTTAGATTCCATATATAAGTGAGACCATAAGGTATTTGTCTGTCTGTGTCTGGATTATTTTATGTAACATAATATGCTTTTGGTTTATCCATGCTGTCTCAAACAACAGAATTTCCTGTTTTTTTTTAATGGCTGAATAGAATTCCATTGTGTATATATACCACATTTAAAAAATGTATTCATCCATTGATGTACACTTAGGATATTTCTATATCTTAGTGACTGTTAATATAGCTATATAATGCTCGTATGTAGCTCATATATAGATCATGAGAGTGCAGGCATCTCTTTAACATACTGATTTAAGTTCCTCTGGGTATATACACAGTAGTGAGACTGCTGGATCATATAGTAGTTCTGAGATTTTTCAAGGAAGTTTCATACTGTTTTCCAAAATGGCTGTCCTGATTTATATTCCCATCAACAGTGTACAAAGATTCCCTTTTCTCCACATCCTTGCCAACACTTGTTATCTTTCATCTATTTTATTTATTTTATTTTATTTTATTTATTTTATTTTATTTTATTTTATTTATTTTATTTTATGTAGAGACAGGTTCTCGTTATGTTGCCCAGGCTGGTCTTGAACTCCTGGGCTCAAGAGATCCTTCCACCTCAGCCTCCCATAGTGCTGGGATTACAGGAATGAGCCACTGCACCTGGCCTCACTCTGGCTTTAATTTGCATTTCTCCAGTGATAAGAGATGTTGAGCATTTTTTGATATATCTGTTGGCCATAGGTGTGTCTTCTGTTGAGGAATGTATATTCAACTATTTGCCCATGTGTTAATTGCATTATTTGTTTTTCGTTACTGAGTAACTTATGTTTCTTGTATATTTTGCATATTAGACCTTTATCTGATGTATTATTTGAAAATAGTTTTCTCCCAATCTGTGAATTCTCTCTTTACTCTAAATCGTTTTCTTTGCTGTGCAGAGACTTTTTAGTTGTAAGCAATCCCACTTGTCTATTTTGTTGCCTGTGTTTGTAGGGTCATACGCAAGATCCCTCTTTCCAGACCAATGTCATGAAGCGTTTCCTCTATGTTTTCTTCTAGTAGTTTTATGGTTTCAGGCCTCATGTTTTCTAAGTCTTTTGTTTTGTTTTGTTTTGTTTTGTTTTGTTTTGTTTTGTTTTGTTTTGAGACAGAGTCTCACTCTGGAGTGTAATGGCACCATCTCAGCTTACTGAAACCTCTGCCTCCCGAGTTTAAGCAATTCTCCTTCCTCAGCCTCTCAAGTAGCTGGGAATACAGGCATGTGCCACCATGCACGGCTAATTTTTGTATTTTTAATAGAGATGAGATTTCACCATGTTGGCCTGACTAGTCTCAAGCTCCTGACCTCAAGTGACCCTCCTGCCTCAGCCTCCCAAAGTGCTAGAATTACAGGCATGAGCCACTGTGTCCTACCTCTTATTTTTAAGTCTTTAATCCATTTTGAGTTGGTTCTTGTATAAAGGATAAAGGTACATATTCATTCTTCTATATGTGGATATCCAGTTTTCTCAACACCATTTATTGAAAAGACTGTCTTTCCCCTATTGTGTGTTCTTAGCACCTTTGTCAAAAAAATCAGTTGAACATAGATGTGTGGGTTTATTTCTAAGCTCCGTATTCTATTCCATCAGTCAATGTGCTTGGTTTTTTTGTTTGTTGGTTTTTTTTTGTTTTTTTGAGATGGAGTTTCACTCTGTCGCCCAAGCTGGAGTGCAGTGGTGCCATCTTGGCTCACTGCAACCTCCACCTCCTGGGTCCAGGCAATTCTCCTGCCTCAGCCTTAGCTGGGATTACAGGCGAGCACCACCACACCCAGCTAATGTATATATATATATATATTTAGCAGAGGCAGGGTTTCACCATGTTGGCCAGGCTGGTCTCAAACTCCTGACCTCAAGTGATCTGCCTGCCTTGGCCTCACAAAGTGCTGGGGTTGTAGGCATGAGCCACCACACCTGACATATGTGTCTGTTTTCATACCAGTACCATGCTGTTTTGATTACTATAGCTTTGTAATATATTTTGAAATCCAGTAGTGTGATGCCTTCAGCTTTGTTCTTTTTGGTCAAGATTGCTTTGACTATTCAGAGTCTTTTGTGAGTACATATGCATTTTAGGAATATTTTTTCTATTTCTGTGAAGAATGACATTGGAATTTTGACAGAGATTGCATTGAATCTGTAGATCACTTTGGGTAGTATGGACATTTTCACAAAATTAATTCTTCCAATTCATGAACATAGAATATCTTCATTTATTTGTGTCTACTTCAATTTCTTTCATCAATGTTTTGTAGTTTTCAGCACACGGATCTTTCACTTCCTTGGTTCAGTTTACTCAGTTTACTCTTTTTTTTTTTTTGAGACAGAGTCTTGCTCTGTCACTGGGCTGGAGTGCAGTGGCGTGATCTCAGCTCACTGCAACCTCCGCCTCTCGGGTTCAAATGATTCTCCTGCCTCAGCCTCCCCAGTAGCTAGGACTACAGGTGTGCAACACCATGCCCAGCTAATTTTTGTATTTTTAGTAGAGACCAGGTTTCACCATGTTGGCCAGGATGGTCTCAATCTCCTGACCTCGTGATCCGCCCACCTCGGCCTCCCAAAGTGCTGGGATTATAGGCGGGAGCCACCATGCCCAGCCCAGTTTACTCTTAAGTATTTAATTTTAATGGTTTTTTTGTTTGTTTGTTTGAGACAGAGTCTCACTCTGTCACCCAGGCTGGAGTGTAGTGACTCAAATCTTGGCTCACTGCAACCTCTGCCTCCTGGGTTCAGGCAATTCTCATGTCTCAGCCTCCTGAGTAGCTGGGACTATAGACACATGCCACCAGGCCCAGCTAATTTTTGTATTTTTAATAAAGATTAGGAATTTGCCATGTTCACCAGGCTGGTCTCAAACTCCTGACTTCAAGTGATCTGCCTACCTCAGTCTCCTAAAGGGCTGGGATTACAGGCATGAGCCACCATGCCTGGCCTTATGTTAATTTTTGATGCTCTTGTAAATAGGAATGTTTTCTTAGTTTCTTTTTCAGTTCGTTGTAAGTACATAGAAACACTGTTGCTTTTTGTAAGTTGATTTTGAATCTTGCAAACTTATTACATTTTTTTATTAGTCTCAGTTTTTTTGTGGCATCTAGGATTTTCTATATATAGGATTGTTGTTGCAGCAAACAGACATAATTTTGCTTCCTTCTTTTTTTTTTTTTTTTTGCTTCCTTTCCTATTTTGATCTCTTTTATTTTTCTTGCCTAGTTGCTCTGGCTAGGACTTCCAACAATATGTTGAACAGAAGTGGTGAGAGTGAGCATGCTTTTCTGGTTCCTGATATTAGAGGAAAGACTTACAATTTTTCACCAATGAGTATTATGTTAGCTGCGGGCTTGTCACATGTGGCTTGTTATATATGGCCTCTATTTTACTGAGGGCCATTTCTTCTGTACCTAATTTGTTGAGAATTTTTATGACAAAAGGATGTTGAATTTTGTCAGATGCTTTTTCTTTTTTTTTGAGACAGGGTCTCACTCTGTCAACCAGGTTGGAGTGCATTGGCATGATCACAGCTCATTATAGCCTTGACCTCCCAGGCTCAAGCAGTCCTCCCACCACAGCCTCTCAAACGGGACTACAAGCATGTGCCACTATGCCCTGCTAACTTTTTTATTTTTTGTACAGACAGGGTCTCACCACGTTGCTTAGGCTGGTCTAGAACACCTGGGCTCAAGTGCTCCTCCCACCTTGGTCTTCCAATGTTTTGGGATTACAGGTATGAGCCACCATGCCTGACCAGATGCTTTTTCTGCATCTATTGAGATTGTCATATGGTTTTTATCCTTCATTCTGTTAATATGGTGAATCACTTTTATTGATTTGCATTTGTTGAACCAAACCTGAATGCCAGGGATAAATCCCCCTTGATCATTGTGAATGATCCTTTCAGTGTACTGGGGAATATGGTTTGCTGTTATGTTGTTGATAATTTTTCTATCTATGTTTATCATTGATATTGGCCTGTAGTTTTATTTTCTCATAGTCTCTTTGTCTGGCTTTGGCATTAGGTTAAAGCTGGCCTCATAAAATGAATTTGGAAGTATTCCTTACTCTTCAGCTCTCTGGAAGAATTTGAGAAGAATTGCTATTCTTCTTTAAATGCCTGGTAGAATTCAGCCTTGAAGCTATCCCGTCATGGGTTTTTCTTTAATGGGAGACTTTTAATTACTAATTCTATCTCCTTACTCATTGGTTTGTTCAGATTTCCAATTTCTTTTTTTTTTTTTTTGAGATGGAGTCTCGCTCTGTCATTCAGGCTGGAGTACAGTGGTGTGATCTCGGATTACTGCAACCTCCGCCTCCCAGGTTCAAGCGATTCTCCTGCTGCAGCCTTTTGAGTAGCTAGGACTAGAGGTGCATGCCACCATGCCTAGCTAATTTTTGTGTTTTTAGTAGAGACAGGGTTTCACCATGTTGGCCAGGCTGGTCTCGAACTCCTGACCTCAAGTGATCTGCCCACCTCGACTTCCCAAAGTGCTGGGATTACAGGTGTGAGCCACAGCGCCTGGCCCAGATTTCCAATTTCTTCATGATTCGATCTAGGTAGGTTTTATGTTTCCAGGAGTTTATACATTCTTTTAGACTGTCCATTTTGTTGGCATATAGTTGTTCACAGTAGTCTCTTATGAACCTTTATATTTCTATGTTAACAGTTCTAATGCCTCCTCTTTTATTTCCGATTTTGTTTATTTGAATCATTCTTCTTTTTTCTTGGTTAATCTAGCTAAGGATTTGTCAGTTTTATTAGGATTTCAAAAAGTGAGCCCTTAGTTTTGTTGATTTTTTTTTCTATTGTTTTCTCAGTCTATACTTCATTTATTTCTGCTCTGATCTTTGTTATTTCCCTCCTTCTGCTAACTTTTGGCTTAGTTAGTTATTTTTCTAATTCCTGGAAGTATAATATTAGGTTGTTTACTTGCTATCTTTATTCTTTTTCCATATATGCATTTATTGTTATAAACATCCCTCTTAGAACTGCTTTTACCACACCCCATAAGTTTTGGTATGTTGTATTTCCATTTTCATTTGTCTTGTGATTTTTTTTACTTCCTAACAGTCATTCAAGAGCATATTGTTTAATTTTCTTTTTTTTTTTTTTTTTTTTTTAGTATTTATTGATCATTCTTGGGTGTTTCTCGGAGAGGGGGATTTGGCAGGGTCATAGGACAACAGTGGAGGGAAGGTCAGCAGATAAACATGTGAACAAGGGTCTCTGGTTTTCCTAGGCAGAGGACCCTGCGGCCTTCCGCAGTGTTTGTGTCCCTGGGTACTTGAGATTAGGGAGTGGTGATGACTCTTAACGAGCATGCTGCCTTCAAGCATCTGTTTCACAAAGCACATCTTGCACCGCCCTTAATCCATTTAACCCTGAGTGGACACAGCACATGTTTCAGAGAGCACGGGGTTGGGGGTAAGGTCACAGATTAACAGCATCCCAAGGCAGAAGAATTTTTCTTAGTACAGAACAAAATGGAGTCTCCTGTGTCTACTTCTTTCTACACAGACACAGTAACAATCTGATCTCTCTTTCTTTTCCCCACATTTCCCCCTTTTCTATTCGACAAAACCGCCATCGTCATCATGGCCCGTTCTCAATGAGCTGTTGGGTACACCTTCCAGACGGGGTGGCAGCCGGGCAGAGGGGCTTCTCACTTCCCAGACGGGGCGGCCGGGCAGAGGGGCCCCCAGACCTCCCAGACGGGGCGGCTGGCCGGGCGGAGGCGCCCCCCACCTCCTGGACGGGGCGGCTGCTGGGCAGAGATGCTCCTCACTTCCCAGACGGGGCAGCTGCCGGGCGGTGGGGCTCCTCACTTCTCAGACGGGGCAGCCGGGCAGAGACGCTCCTCACCTCCCATACGGGGTGGCGGTCGGGCAGAGACACTCCTCAGTTCCCAGACGGGGTCGTGGCCGGGCAGAGGCGCGCCTCACATCCCAGACAGGGCGGCGGGGCAGAGGTGCTCCCCACATCTCAGACAATGGGCGGCCGGCAGAGACGCTCCTCACTTCCTAGACGGGATGGCAGCCGGGAAGAGGCGCTCCTCACTTCCCAGACTGGGTGGCTGGGCAGAGGGGCTCCTCACATCCCAGACGATGGGCGGCCAGGCAGAGACGCTCCTCACTTCCCAGACGGGGTGGCGGCCGGGCAGAGGCTGCAATTTCGGCACTTTGGGAGGCCAAGGCAGGCAGCTGGGAGGTGGAGGTTGTAGCGAGCCGAGATCACGCCACTGCACTCCAGCCTGGGCAACATTGAGCACTGAGTGAGCGAGACTCCGTCTGCAATCCCGGCACCTCAGGAGGCCGAGGCGGGAAGATCACTCGCGGTCAGGAGGTGGAGACCAGCCTGGCCAACACGGCGAGACCCCGTCTCCACCAAAAAATACAAAAACTAGTCAGGCATGGCGGTGCGCACCTGCAATCCCAGGCACTCGGCAGGCTGAGGCAGGAGAATCAGGCAGGGAGGTTGCAGTGAGCCGAGATGGCGGCAGTACAGTCCAGCCTCGGCTCCGCATTAGAGGGAGACCGTGGAAAGTGGGAGAGGGAGGGGGAGGGGGAGGGGGAGAGGGAGAGGGAGAGCCATATTTAATTTTCATACACTTGTTCATTTTTTCTGATTCCTCCTATTACTGATTTCTAGTTTCGTATCATTACAGTCAGAAAAGATACTTGATATAATTTAGATGTTCTTAGATGTGTTAAGATTTGTTTTGTGACCTAACATATGATCTACCCCAGAGAATGTTCTGTGTGCACTTGAAAAAAACTGTTTTCTCTTTTGCTGTTGTGTGGAATATTCTGTATATGCCTGTCAGGTCCATTTGGTCTAAAGTGTAGTTGAAGGCCAATGTTTTCTTATTTATTGTCTGTCTGGGTGATCTGTCCACTATTGAAAGTGAGATATTAAAATCCCCTACTGTGTTTGTTTTGCAGTCTATATCTCCCTTTCATTCTCTTAATGTTTGCTTTATATATTTAGGTGTTCTGATGTTAGGTGCAAATATATATTATAATTTTTGTATCCTCTTGATGAATTGACCCATTTATCACTATATAATATCTTTCTTTGTCTCCTTTTTTTGAGATGGAGTCTCGCTCTGTTGCCAGGTTGGAGTGCAGTGGCATAATCTTGGCTCACTGCAACCTCCACCTCCCAGGTTCAAGCGATTCTCCTGCCTCAGCCACCTGAGTAGCTGGGACTACAGATGCGTGCCACCACGCCCAGCTAATTTTTGTATTTTTAGTAGAGACAGGGTTTTATCATGTTGGCCAGGATGGTCTCAATCTCTTGACCTTGTGATCCGCCTGCCTTGGCCTCCCAAAGTGCTGGGATTATGGGCGTGAGCCACCGTGCCCGGCCCTTCTTTGTCTCTTTTTACCATTTTTGGCCTAAAATATATTTAGACTGAAATATAGCTACCTTTGCTCTCTTTTTGTTTTCATTTTCATGGAATATCTTTTTTTTTTTTAAATCCTTCACATGCAGTTTATGGGTGTCCTTTAAGGTAAAATGAGTCTCTTGTAGGCAGCGTGTAGTTGAGCCTTTTTTTCCATTGAGCCACTCTATGACTTATATGGGGGAATGCTCTGGCTAGGACTTCCAGTACTATGTTGAATAGAAGTGGCAAAAGTGGACATCCTTGTCTTGTTCCAGTTCTCAAGGGGAATGCTTTATGCTTTCAACTTTACACACACACACACACACACACACACACACACACACACACACACACTACATTTTCTTTATCCACTTGTTGATTGATGGGTACTTAGGCTGGTTCCATATTTTTGCAGTTGTGAATTGTGCTGCTATAAACATGCATATGCAAGTGTCTTTTTCATATAATGACTTCCTTTCCTCTGGGTAGATACCCAGTAGTGGGATTGCTGGATCAAATGGTAGTTCTACTTTTCGTTCTTTAAGAAATCTTCATACTCTTTTCCATAGTGGTTGTGCTAGTTTAAATTCCCACCAGCAGTGTAAAAGTGTTCCCTTTTTACCACATCTACACCAACATCTATTATTTTTTGATATTTTAATTATGACCATTCTTGCAGAGTAAAGTGGTATTGCATTGTGGTTTTGATTTGCATTTCCATTATAATTAGTGATGTTGAGCATTTTTTCATATGTTTATTGACCATTTGTATATCTTCTTTTGAGAATTGTCTATTCTTGTCCGTAGCCCACTTCTTTATTGGATTGTTTTGTTTTATTCTTGCTGATTTGTTTGAGTTCCTTGCAGATTCTGGATATTAGTTCTTTGTCGGATGTATAGATTGTGAAGATTTTCTCCCACTCTGTGGGTTGTCTGTTTAATCTGCTGATTATTTCTTTTGCTGTACAGAAGCTTTTTAGTTTAATTAAGTCCCATCTATTTATCCTTGTTGCATTTGCTTTTGGGTTCCTGGTCATGAACTCTTTGCCTAAGCCAATGTCTAGAAGAGTTCTTCCAATGTTATCTTCTAGATTTTTTTTATGGTTTCAGGCCATAAAAGATTTAAGTCTTTGATCCATCTTGAGTTGATTTTTGTATAAGGTGAGAGAAGAGGATCCAGTTTCATTTTCTACATAGGGCTTGCCAATTATCCCAGCACCATTTGTTGAAGAGGGTGTCCTTTCTTTTTGTTTGCTTTGTCAAAGAACAGTTGGCTGTAAGTATTTGGCTTTATTTCTGGTTTCTCTATTCTGTTCCAATTGTCTATGTGCCTGTTTTTATACCAGTACCATGCTGTTTTGGTAACTATAGGCTTGTAGTGTAGTTTGAAGTTGGGTAGTGTGATGCCTCCAGATTTTTTCTTTTTGCTTAGTCTTGCTTTGGCTATGCAGGCTCTTTTTTTGTTCCATATAAATTTTAGGATTTTTTTCTAGTTTTGTGAAGAATGGTAATTGTATTTTAATGGGAATTGCAATGAATCTATAGATTGCTTTTGGCAGTATGGTCATTTTGACAATATTAATTCTACCCATCTATGAGTATGAGATGTGTTTCCATTTGTTTGCATTGTCCATGATTTCTTTCAGCAGTGTTTTGTAGTTTTCTTTGTAGAGATCTTTCACCTCCTTGTTTAGGTATATTCCTAAGTATTTTAATTTTTTTGCAACTGTTGTAAAAGGAGTTGAGTTTTTTATTTGATTCTCCACTTGGTCACTGTTGGTGTATAGCAGTGCTACTGATTTGTGTACATTGATTTTGTATCCTGAAACTACTGAATTTATTTATCAGATCTAGGAGATTTTTTTGGATGAGTCTAGGGTTTGCTAGGTATACAATGATAGCAACACCAAACAGCAACCGTTTGACTTACTTTTTACCGATTTGGATGCTCTTTCTCTCTTTTGTCTGATTGCTCTGGCTAGGACTTCCAGTACTGTGTTGAACAGAAGTGGCAAAAGTGGGCATCCTTGTCTTGTTCCAGTTCTCAGGGGGAATGCTTTCAACTTTTCCCTATTCAGTATAATGTTGGCTGTGGGTTTGTCATAGATGGTTTTTATTACCTTAAGGTATGTCCCTTCTATGCTGATTTTGCTGAGGGTTTTAATCACAAAGGGATGCTGGATTTTGTCAAATGCTTTTTATGCATCTATTGACATGATCATGTGATTTTTGTTTTTAATTCTTTTCATGTAGTGTATCACATTTATTGACTTGTGTATGTTAAACCAACCCTGCATCCCTGTATCAAACCTACTTGATCATGGTGGATTATGTTTTTGATATGCTGTTGGATTTGGTTAGCCAGTATTTTGTTGAGGATTTTTGTATCCACGTTCATCAGGGATATTGGTCTGTAGTTTTCTTTTTTGGTTATGTCCTTTCCTGATTTTGGTATTAGGGTGATACTGGCTTCATAGAATGATTTAGGGAGAATCCCCTCTTTCGCTATTTTTTGGAATAGTTTCAGTAAGATTGGTCTTAATTCTTCTTTGAATGTCTTATAGAATTCAGCTGTAAATATGCCTGGTCTTAGACTTTGTTTTGTTGGGAATTATTTTTTTATTACTATTTCAATCTCACTACTTGTTATTGGTCTGTTCAGAGTTTCTATTTCTTCCTGGTTTAATCTAGGAGGGTTGTATATTTCCAAGAATTTATCTATCTCCTCTACGTTTTCTAGTGCGTGTGCATAAAGGTGTACATTGTAGCCTTGAATGATCTTTTTTGTTTCTGTGGTATCAGTTATAATAACTCCCATTTTATTTCTAATTAAGCTTATCTGGATCTTCTCTCTTTTCCTGGTTAATCTAGCTAGTTGTGTATTGATTTTGTTTATCATTTCAAACCACCTTTTTGTTTCATGTATCTTTTGTATTGTTTTTCTGTTTTCATTTCATTTAGTTTTGCTCTGATGTTTGTTATTTCTTTTCTTCTGCTGGATTTGGGTTTGATTTGTTCTTGTTTCTCTAGTTCCTTGAGGTTTGACCTGAGATTGTCTGTTTGTGCTCTTTAAGACTTTTTGATCTAGGCATTTAATACTATGAACCTTCCTCTTAGCACCACTTTTGCTGTGTCTCAGAAGTTTTGATAGGTTGTGTCACTATTATCATTTGGTTCACAGAATTTTTAAATTTTCATCTTGATTTCATTGTTGACCCAAAGATCATTCAGGAGCAAATTATTTAGTGTCCATGCATTTGCATAGTTCTGTGGTTCCCTTTTGGAGTTAATTTCCAATTTTATTTCACTGTGGTCTGAGAGAGTATTTGATGTAATTTTGATATTCTTGAATTTACTGAGACTTGTTTTAAGGCCTAGTATATCATCTGTCTTGCAGAAGGTTACATATGCTGATGAAAAGAATGTATGTTCTACAATTGTTAGGTAGAATGTTCTGTAAATATCTGTTAGGACCATTTGTTCTAAGGTATGATTTAAGTCCATTGTTTCTTTGTTGACTTTCTGTCTTAATGACCTGTCTAGTGCTGTCAGCAGAGTATTAAAGTCCCCCACTATTATTGTGTTGCTGTCTATCTCATTTCTTAGGTCTAGTAATAATTGTTTTACAAATTTGGGAGCTCTAGTGTTAGGTGCATATATATTTAGGATTGTGGTATTTTCCTATTGGACAAAGCCTTTCATCATTATATAATGTCTCTGTTTGTATTTTTTTAACAGTTATTGCTTTAAAGTCTGTTTTGTCTCATATAAGAATAGCTACTCCTGCTAACTTTGGGTTCTATTTACATGGAGTATCTTTTTTCCACACTTTACCTTAAGTTTATGTGAGTCCTTATGTGGTAGGTGAGTCTCTAGAAGACAGCAGGTACTTGGTTGGTGGATTTTTATCCATTCTGCCATTCTGTATCTTTTAAGTGGAGCATTTAGGCCATCTACATTCAATATTAATATTGAGATGTGAGGTACTATTCTATTCATCATGCTGGTTGTTGCCTGAATACCTTGTTGTTGTTGTTTTTCTTTGTGTTATTTATTTGTTTATTTAGAGACAGAGTCTTGCTTTGTCACCAAGGCTGGAGCGCAGTGGCACGATCTCAGCTCAGTGCAGCCTCCGCCTTTTGGGTTCAAGTAATTCTTGTGCCTCAGCCTCCAGTGTAGCTGGGACTAGAGGCATGCACCACCACATCTGGCTAATTTTTGTATTTTTAGTAGAGACAGGGTTTTATCATGTTGGCCAGGCTGGTCTTGAACTCCTGGCTTCAAGCCATCTATCCACCTTTGCCTCTCAAAGTGCTGGGATTATAGGCATGAGCCACCACACCCAGACTGTGTTATTTTTATTTTTATTTTTTGAGACAGAGTTTTGCTCTTGTTGCCCAGGTTGGAGTGCAATGGTGCAATCTCGGCTCACCACAACCTCTGCCTCCCGGGTTCAAGGGATTCTCCTGCCTCAGCCTCCCAAGTAGCTGAGATTACAGTTATGCGCCACCACACCTGGCTAATTTTGTATTTTTAGTAGAGACAGGCTTTCACCATGTTGGCCAGGTTAATCTCGAACTCCTGACCTCAGGTGATCCACCCGCCTAGGCCTCCCAAATTGCTGGGATTATAGGCATGAGCCACTGTGCCCAGCCCTAGCCTGTGTTATTGTTTTACAAGCCCTGTTAGATTTATGCTTTAAGGAGGTTCTATTTTGGTGTATTTTGAGGTTTTGTTTTAAGATTTAGAACTCCAGCTGGGCACAGTGGCTCACATCTCTAATCCCAGCACTTTGGGAGGCTGAAGCAGGTGGATCATGAGGTCAGGAGATCGAGACCATTCTGGCTAACAGGTGAAACCCCGTCTCTACTAAAAATACAAAAAATTAGCCAGGCGTGGTGGCACGCACCTGTGGTCCTAGCTACTCAGGAGGCTGAGACAGGAGAATCACTTGAACCCAGGAGGCGGAGGTTGCAGTGAGCCGAGATCACCCCACTGCACGCCAGCCTGGGTGACAGAGCAAGACTCCGTCTCCAAAAAAAAAACAGGATTTAGAACTCCTTTTCACATTTTAGTGCTGGTTTGCTAGTAGTGAATTATCTTAGCATTTATTTGTGTGAAAAATATTTTATCTCTCCTTCATTTATGAAACTTTGTTTCCATGATACAAAATTTTGATTGATAATTATTTTGCCTAAGGAGGCTAAAGATAGGACCCTAATTCCTTCTGGTTGGCAGGGTTTCTACTGAGAAATCTTCTGTTAATCTGATAGGTTTTCCTTTGTAGGTTATCTGATGCTTTTGCCTCATAGCTTTTAAGATCCTTTCCTTCATCTTAACTTTAGATAACCTGATGACTGTGTGCCTAGTTGATGATCTTTTTGCAATGAATTCCCGGGTGTTCTTTGAGCTTCTTGTATTTGGATTTCTTTATCTCTAGCAAGACCAAGGAAGTTTGCCTCTATTATTCCCTCAAATACATTTTTTCAAACTTTTAGATTTCTCTTTCTCAGAAACACCAATTATTCTTAGATTTGGTCATTTAACATAATCCCAAATGTCTTGGCATCTTTGTTCATTTTTTTAAATTCTTTTTTCTTTGTCTTTGTTGAATTGGGTTAATTCGAAAGCCTTGTCTTCGAGCTCTGAAGTTCTTTCTTCTACTTGTTTGATGCTATTATTGAATTATTCCAGTGTATTTTGCATTTCTCTGAGTGTGTCTTTCATTTCCAAAAGTTGTGATTTTTTTTAGTTTATGCTATCTCTTTCTCTAGGGACTTTTTCCTCTATATCCTTTTTTTTTTTTTTAATTTTTTTAAGTTGTTATTCACCTTTCTCTGGTACTTCCCTGAGTAGCTTAATAATGTTCTGAACTCTTTATCTGGCAATTCAGAGATTTCTTCTTGGTTTGGATCCGTTGCTAGAAAGCTAGTGTGATCTTCTGGGAGCATTATAGAACCCTGTTTTGTCATATTACCAGAATTTTTTGGTTCCTTCTCATTTGGGTAGTCTGTTTCAGTGGAAAGATCTGGAACTCAAGGGCTGCTGTTCAGATTCTTTTGTGCCATGGGGTGATCCCTTGATGTGGTGCTCTCTCCCTTCCCTAGGGATGGGGCTTCCTGAGAGCCAGACTGCAGTGATTTTTATCAATGTCCTTCTGGGTCTAGCCACCCAATGCGGCTACAGTGGGCTGGTGCTGGGGATGTCTGCAGAGTCCTGTGATGTGATCCGTCTTCAGGTCTCCCAGCCATGGATACTAGCACCTGCTCCAGTGGAGGTGGCAGGGGAGTGAAGTGGATTCTGTGGGAGTTCTTGGTAATAGTTTTGTTTAGTGTGCTACTTTTCTCAAATGCTGGTTTTGCTAGCAGTAAAGTTGTCATGTGGACAGACTCCAGACCTCTCGTTAGCCAGCGTCTTGCAGGTGGTGGAATTAGCTGTTGTTTTTCCCTTCTTTGGAGCAGGGTTGTTCTGTTACGAGTTGCTGTAATGGCTTGAGTTGGTTGGCCTCTAGCCAGGAGGTGGCACTTGTTTTTTTTTTTTTTTTTTGAGATGGAGTCTCATTTACTCTATCGCCCATGCTAGAGTACAGTGATGCAATCTCGGCTCACTGCAACCACCACCTTCCAGGTTCAAGCGATTCTCCTGCCTCAGCCTCCTGAGTAGCTGGGATTACAGGTGTGCTCCACCACACCCAGCTAATTTTTGTATTTTTAGTAGAGATGGAGTTTCACCATGTTGGCCAGGCTGGTCTCAAACTTCTGACCTCAAGCCATCTGCCCACCGTGGCCTCCCAAAGTGCTGGGATTACAGGAGTGAGCCACCATGCTTTGCCTGTGGTGGTGCTTTTAAGAGTGCACCAGTTGCAGTAGTAGAAGGGGAATATAAGCTTGCCCTTCATTGACCAGGATGAATACTTGGGTTTCTCAGGTGGCAGGTGGGGCCATAGAGCTTTCAAGAGTTTACGTTTTTGTCTTTGGCTACCACGGCAGGTAGAGAAAAACCATCAGGTGGGGGCACGGTTAGGTGGGTCTGAGTTCAGACTATCCTTGGGTGGGGTTTGCTGCAGCCACCGTAGGGGATGACGGGGTGGTTCTAAGGCCAATGGAGTTATGTTCCCAGGGGGATTATGGCTACCTCTGCTGCCATGATTTGGTCACCATGGAAGTGGGGGAAAGCTGGCAGTGACAGGCCTCACCCAGCTCCCATGTAGCCAGCAAAGCCAGTCTCACTCCTTCTATTTCCTACCAACAGCACTGAATGTATATTCGGACAGCTGGGAGCAAGATGGAGATCTTGCCCCAGGCTACCAGCCTCCCTGCTGAGAAAACCAGCAGGGCTCTCAGGCCTTGATCCTCCCCACCTGCTGCACCTTCAGCTGCAGCTTCTGCACTCCCATTCACCATCCCTCACCCGGGATGCTACTCAGGAAAATTTGTGCTCAAAATTATTACAAAGTTTGGCTAGGAACTTCCTTTACTCTGTGTCACCTCCCCAATTCCACTGGCTGCCTTCCCCAAGAACCCTTGTGAGATAAGGCCAGGAATAGCTTCCCTGGGCTCAAGTTGGGGACCAAGAGTGCCTACAGGGCTCTTCCCACTGCCTCTTCTACTTTTATATTTCACTCAGCTCCCTATATCTGTTTCTGCTTTAGGTAAGTTTAAATCCTTCTCCTGTGATCTGACTTTTCAGGTTCCCCAGTGGGGATGTGTGTTCAGAGGCACTTTTCCCCTTCTTACACTTTGAAAACTCATAGTTCTTTGGCTGGCTCATGGAGTTTGCAGCGGCAAGCTGCCTCTTTCAAAAGGTCTGTGAATTCTTTCAGTTTTCCTGATATGTTCCTGCAATGGTTCTTGGAGCAAAAGTTCACAATGTGAGTCTCCACACACTGTTCTGTCTGTCCAAATGGGAGTTGCACATTAGTCCTGTCTCCTATCAGCCATTTTTTCCAATAACACTTTAATCATACAACAAACTCTACGCTTCTACTCCCCCTCCTCCCACATAAAATGTGAGCTGATGTCAAAATTTACATTTTAAAAATAATATTTATTCTTAAGAAGTTATCGTAGCTCTAGTTGTTATAGTGATTTTGCTTTTTAACCTTTACACTATATATATAATTGGTTTATTGTTAGAGTATTAGAGTGTTTTGAATTTGACAATATATTTACTTTTACCCGTGAATTTTATATTCTCATGTGTTTTCATGTTACTAATCAGCATTTTTTTCTTCAGCTTGAAGAACTCCTTTTAGCATTTCTTATAAGGCAGGTATAGTGGTGATAAACTACTTTTGTTTGTCTTAGAAAATCCTTACCGCCTCTTCATTTATGAAAGACAGTGTTGTGGAGTATAATATCCTTGGCTGACAATTGTTTTATTTCAGGATTTTAAAAATTGGCTTTCTCACGTTGACTGGAATTTTGAGTATATCATTCCACTCCCTTCTGGTCTGCAGAGTTTCTGCTGAAAAATCTACTTATAACTTTATGGTGGTTCCCATGTATGTAACAATTTGTTTTTCCTTTGTTGGCTTTCAGAACTCTGTCTTTAACATTGGACAATTTGATTATGATGTGTTTCATGGGTCTCTTTAGTTCATCTTATTATTCAATATCCTTTGGGCTTTGTAAATCTGGATTTCTATTTCATTCCCTAGGCTTGGGAAGTTTTCTGCCATTATTTTTTTATATATATATTTTTTGTATCTTTCTCTTTTCTCCTTCTTGTACACTGATAATGCATAAGTTGTTACATGTGATGGTGTTCCATAAGTGTATCAAATTATCCCCATTCTTTTTCATTCTCTTTTATTTTTTCTTCTCAGATTGTATGATTTCCGGAGATCTGTCTTTGAGTACACTGATCCTTTCTTCTGGTTTATCTAGTCTGCTGTTGAATCCCTCTATTGAATGTTTTAGTTTAGTTATGTTATTCTTTTGCTTTATAATTTATATTTGGTAGTTTTTAAACTTTCTTTTTATTGACATTCTCAGTTTGTTCTTACATTGTTCTCCTGACCTTGGTTAGCAACTTTACGACCATCATTTTGAATTCTCTGTTGGGTAAATCACATATCTCCACTTCACTCATATCAGTTTCTAGAAATTGACCTTGTTCTTTTATTTGAAATATATTTTCCTATGTCTTCATTTTCCTTCACTGTCTGTGGTGATTTATGTACATCAGATAAGACAACCACCTCTCCCAGTCTCGTCAGACTGGTCTCATACAGGAGAAAGATCTCAACAATGTATCCTGCCAGAGATTTTAAGGTCCTTCTCCAATCTCAAAAACAGACTGCTATATCTCCTTTTTGTGGCCCACTGGAGCTTAGAATGTGTTATGTCCTGTCAGTACCCTCATGAATAGTATGGTAGGAGCAAGACTCTTTAGACATAGCTGAAAAGCTTAGCTTGTTGGATGTGTGTTGCAGTTCCTTCTATCTTCATGGTGAAGTTGAGCAAAGATGTTTATCTCCCACTATTCCTGTACTAAGCCAGAAAGAGAATCTTTGTACTCACATTCAGGCTGCACCCTCTGATCCTGGGGAGAAAGTTGCTGGAAGTGGACCCATCATGTGTCCACCTCTTTGTTTTCTGTGGTCTATACTCTCACTTGGTTTCTTATCAACTCTCATAACCTAAAATACCATCTATATCCAGATGACTCCTGCTGTGGTTTGGATGTACCCTCCAGAAAGCAGGTGTTGGAAATTTAATCCCCAATGCAACAGTGTTGGGAGGTGGGGCCCAGTGAGAGGTGGTTAAGTCATAAGAGCTCCACTCTCATGAATGGATTAATGCTCATTATAAAAGGACTTGAGGCTGTGAGTTCAATGGCTTGCTCTCTCTTGCATGCTTCCTTGTCATGTGATGGCTTCTGCTATGTTGTGACTCAGCAAGAAGATCCTCACCAGATGTGGTTCCTTGATCTTGGATGTCACAGCCTCCAAAACCTTGAGCAAAATAAATTTATTTTCTTTATAAATTACCCAGTCTGCGGTATTCTGTTATGACTGCACAAAATGGAGGAAGACAGTGCTCAAGTTTATATCTGTAGCCTGGACCTCTCCCCTAAATTTCAGACCTGTATATGCAATTGTTTGCTTGACTTCAACATTTAGATCGATAATATACATTTCAAATTTTTCAAGTCTGAAACTGATCTCTTGATAACCACCCTCCTCAAACATATCTCCAGCAGTCTTCTCAATCTCAGTTAATAGTAACTCCATTCATCTAGTTACTCAGGTAAAACGAATAAACAAACAAAAGCCCTTGGTGTATTCTGACTTGTAGTTCTCTTTCTCTCTCTCTCTCTCTCCCTTTCACCTCCTTCCATCTGTTTCTGTCTCACCCCACAGCTGATTTGTTAGCAAATGCTGTCATTTCCATCTTCAAAATAATTGGGCCACTTCTCACCAATCTCATTGGTACTGCCATGGTCCAGTCCACCACTGTCTTTTGCCCAAATTATTAGAGTAGGCTTGTAGATATGTTCCCCTTGTCTGCCCATGTTACCTACAGTGTATTCTCAACCGAGCAACCAGTGTTCCTGTTAAAATGTAAGTCAGATCATGTCACTCCTCTGTTGAAAACCCTCCAATGACTTTTCATCTCATTCCGAGTAAAAGCCAAACTTCCTTCTAATAGCCACAAAATCCTATGTGGCCTGGCTGCTTGTTACTTACCTCTATGACCTGAGTTCTTGAAGTCTCTCCCTTGTTTTGTTGACTGTAGCTACATTGGCCTTCTCATTGTCCCTTGAATCACCAGGTATGACTGTACCAAAGAGCAGTCTTTGGTATCTGGCCTTCCCTCTGCCTGGGATGCTTCACCCACACACACCTGTATGGCAAGCTCCTCACTGGCTTTGATCTCTATTCAGAAGTCATCTTCCCATTGGAGCCTTCCCTGGTCACTCTATTTAACAGACGGTTCTTAACTCTGTTTAAGAGTGTTCAATCTTCCTAACTATTATTCATTTTCATTGCTTCATTTTTCTTGCTAGCCATTATCATTTTCTAATATGCTCTAACTTACTTTTGTTATTAGCTGTTTTTCTCACTGAATGCTTCATGTAAGTGAGGATTATTTTTCTGTTTTGTTCACCATTGTGTCCCCAGTGACTAGAACAGTGTCTCACACATCGTAGGCACTAAAAAAATGTGTGAAATAAATGAAAGAATGAGTGAATAAAATTTTTAAAAACATTTGATATATATTCAAAGCTAATGTCCATTAGCAAGTAGACCCGCAAGAATGGAATTATAAAAATAATTATATTTATATTTGTCAAAACAATGACTATCCCACCTTTGATTCCAGATCTATTTGATAATTACACTTAAGGGTGAAAGTTAAATTATAATTAATTGCTTTATGTCCTACCTAGCAAACCCTCAAAATTATAGCATTAGGATATTAATATTATCTCTGAAACTGTAATGCTATTTTATTTGCTTCTTCACATAAGTTAAACATAAGGATGCTTAGCATGTCAGAAAACAATTTTGTTTGATGAAGTTGGTCTTTCTCTTTCTGTTTAAAATTTACTTAATATAAAACAGTACTTAATATAAAATGACATTATATTTATACATAATTTAATTTTTATACAGATTATTTTTATAAAATATTTCTAAAATGGAATCATTTCACTGTTACACTGTTACTCATGGGTT
Organism: Homo sapiens; assembly: GCF_000001405.40. NCBI lineage: Eukaryota > Metazoa > Chordata > Mammalia > Primates > Hominidae > Homo > Homo sapiens. Next base: position 231,441,047 of record NC_000001.11, on the reverse strand, counting down.
AGTTAAGAACCATTTGAGAAAACTTTATATTTCCACTTTCCTATGAAATGCTTGAAGTATCCATGAAACATAACTTATTGGAGAGTATGGGAAATGTCATACAGATCTCAATGTCACAAATATTCCTAAAGAGTTGAAATATTTTGGTTAGAAAATATTTTTCAAAATCCAATTTAAAAAATTGATTTTCTGAAATGTATGCAACATAAGTGGCCAAGAAAACTCTTTTTAAAATTTTCATTTTAAACACCTGAAGAAGTAAGTCTTTTCTCTATAGCAACGAAGTTCTCATCATTTTTATATTGTTAACTACAATCAGATCATTGGTATTAATTTTCCTGTTCCTTTGTTTGCATCTTTATTTTGAACTCTGGTTGAAATTCATTTAGTACAAAAAAGAATTTAATTTTCATTGAGGCTGTTTCAGGCACTGTATGACTGCAAGAATAGAAAAGAAGTGATCCAGAGCTCCAGCTACTGCAAAAGAATGGACTTTGTTGGAAACCCAATGAAGAAAGCATCCAATGCTATTAACTCTATTAACTTTTTTTTAGAGACAAGTTCTTACTCTTTCACACAGCCTGCAGTGCAGTGTCACAGTGACAGCTCAAACTCCTGAGCTCAAGTAATCCTCCCACCTCAGCCTCCCAAGTAGCTGGGACCACAAGTGCATGCCACCACACCTGGCTATGGGGTCTTGCCATGTTGATCAGGCTGGGCTTGAACTCTTGGGCTCAAGCAATCCTCCTGCCTCAGCCTCCCAAAATGCTAGGATTACAGGCATGAGCTAAGTGCCCAGCTAATGTGATTAATCATTTTCTTAATCTTTCCTAGGTCATTGCTGGTGATTCCTAAAATTTAGTACTAATAATATTTACTTTAATTTTGGCATTACTATTGTGAAAGCCCCCTTTACATAATTACACTGACTCATTTAAGAGTCAAGAGCTCAAAAATATATTTAGAGGCCATTATCTGCAAAAGATATCTTCTTTTGGCTTCTGGGAATGTCATGTGTCTTAGTGAGTTTTTGCTGAGCATTAAGTGGGACCCACCTTTAAAGTTAGTTTCAACATCAGTTTTGGAGGAGACAAATATTCAAACCATAGGACCATGCATTAGCAAAATCTGACCAAGAGAAAAGAGTTGTTATAGATGCTATGCAAGCATTTAAAGATCTGAGGAGTCCAAATTATTCTGCCAGCAAGAAAGAAGAGGGTCATTCAAAGGTCCAGTGGCAAAGGAAGTTGCAGATTCATGCATTCAAACATGCAAACTACATCCTTCTATTATGTTCACATAAAATGGTCATGGTGATGCTGGAGACTCTTCTCCAGCTAATGTATGGAGAAGAGTCTCTAGAAGAGTGGTGGATTTGACTTTATCTGTATGCTTTGATGCTATGCCCTCTATAATATATACAAGCATTTTATAAATTGATTTGAAAAATGTAGAGAAAGACATTTCACTTGGTTATAGAGAAAGGAAAATTAATATGGGGAATTTGAAAAGGAAAAATTTTTTGCTTGTGGTGAGCAAAAAATTGGAAACAACTTACAATAATATACAGAGGAATGGTCTACAGCTATTTACAACCATATTGTGCCAAATGACATATGGCTTCTTAGCATTCAAATGGAGTTAGTCGTGTTTGATTTGAAATTCATCAGGAAATTTATTTTTTGCTTTGCTCTTGTCTCAGTTAATTTAAACCATAAGATTTGAAATAGACTGTAGGAGAAAGAAATCAGTTGTTCCAGGATTCACCAACCTGAACACCAAGAATTTTGATTTCTTGCTATATCAAGACAAGACTAAGGTTAGGTGATATGGTCACCAGACCCAACATTCTATAGAAGCATTTAATGATCACCAAAAGAGGCAAATATTTAGTCATGAATAGACTATTTTTATCCTTTTATTTTGAAATAATTACCAAGTTCCAGAAAATTTGCAAGAATAATAAAGAGAATTTCTCTATATCCTTTACCTAAGTTAACTAATTTAAACTTGTTTTATCACTCTCTACATATCTATATCTTATCTATATTCATATTATTGTTTGTTTTCTGAACCATTTGAGACTAGATCTCATGCATCATGCCCCTTTACCTTTTAGTGCTTCAGTGTCTATTTGCAAGGATATTCTTTTATATAACCATGGTACACTTGTTAAAATCAGGAAATTACAATACTTTTATCAAATCGGAAGTCCTATTCCAGCTGGGCATGGTGGTTTATGCCTTTAATCCCAGCACTTTGGGAGGCCAAGGCAGGAGGCTTGCTTGAGCCCAGGAGTTCGAGACCAGCTTGGGCAACGTAGCAAGAACCCATATCTACAAAAAAATACAAAAATTAGCCATGATGGTGGTGTATGCCTGTAATTCCAGCTACTCAGGAGGCTGGGGAGAGAGGATCGCCTGAGCCCACGAGTTCAAGGTTGCAGTGAGATATTAATACACCACTGCACTCCAGCCTGAGTGACAGAGTGAGAACCTGTCTCAAAACAAAAACAAAAACAGAAGTCCACATTCCATTTTCATCAAATGTCTGTATGTCTTTATAGTATAGTCATCCCTTGGTATCCACAGGGGATTGGCTCCAGGACCTCTGCAGAAACCAAAATCCATGGATGCTCAAGTTCCTTATATAAAATGGCATAGTATTTGCATATAATTTATGCACCTCCTCCTGTACACTTTAAATAATTTCTAGGTTATGTATAATACCTATTATAATGTAAATGCTATATAAATAGTTGTTATGCTGTATTTTTAAATTTTTCTATTATTTTTATTGTTGTATTTTAGTTATTTTTCCAAAATATTTTCAATCCATAGTTGGTTTAATCCACAAATGGGAAACCTACCAATAGAGAGAGCCAATTGTATTTTCCTCCCCTTTAGTATAGGATCCAGTTCAGCATGACATACTGCATTTAGTTGTCATGTCTTTTTTAAAAACAAATTATTTACTTATTTTCATTATTTTTAAATTAACACATAATTGTACATATTTATGGGGTATGGTGTGATTTTTTTTTTTTTTTGAGACAGAGACTCACTTTGTTGCCCAGCCTGGAGTGTAGTGAGGCGATCTCGGCTCACTGCAAGCTCTGCCTTCTGGGTTCAAGTGATTCTTGTGCCTCAACCTCCAGAGTAGCTGGGATTACAGGCACCGGCCACCATGCCCCGATAATTTTTTTTGTATTTTTTAGTGGGGACTGGATTTCACTGTGTTGGCCAGGCTGGTCTTGAACTCCTGACCTCAAGTGATCCATCCGCCAGTCTCGGCCTCCCAAAATGCTAGGATTACAAGTGTGAGCCACCACACCTGGCCCAGCGTGATATTTTGATTTGTATGTACAATGTGTAATGATCAAATCAGAGCAATTAGCAAATTTATCACCTTAAACATTTGTAATTCCTTTCTGTTAGAAACATTCAAAATCCTCTCTTCCAGCTATTTTTAAATATACAATAAATTATTGTATAATAATGTTAACTATAGTCACCCTACAGTGCTTTATAGAACACTCAAACTTATTCCTCCTATCTAGCTGTAATTTTGTATCTATTAACCAACTTCTCCCACCCACCTCCCCTCTACACTTCTCAGCCTCTAGTAATCACTATCCTCCCCTCTATGTCTACGGCATCAACTTTTTTAGCTTCCACATATGGGTGATAGCATGTGGCATTTATCTTTCTGTGCCTGGCTTATTTCGCTTAACATAATGTTCTCCAGCCTCATCCATGTTTCCTTGAATGACAGGATTCACTTTTTTATGGCTGAATAATATTCTACTATGTACATGATGTATATACATTTATATATACATATTTTCTTTATCCACTCATCTGTTGATGGACACTTAGGTTGATTCTTTATCTTAGCTATTGTGAACAGTGCTGCAATAAACATGGGAGTGCAGCTATCTCTTCAACATACTGATTTCCTTTGCTTTTAATATATACTAAGTAGTGGGATTGCTGGGTCATATGGTAGTTCTATTTTTAGTTTTTTGAGGAAACTCCATACTGTTTTCCATAGTGGTTGTACTAATTTACATTCCAACCAATAGTGGAATGTATAAGAGTTTCCCCCTTCTTCACATTCTTGCCAACATCTGTTTTTGTTTTTTTTTGTTTTTTTGTCTTTGTTGATGATAGCCAGACAGCCATTCTAACTGGAATGAGATGATACCTCATTGTGATTTTGATTTGCATTTCCCTGATGATTAGTGATGTTGAGTATGTTCTCATATACTTGTTGGCCATTTGTGTATTTTCAGAGATGTCTATTCAGATCATTTGCCAATTTTAAAATATAATTATTTGGGTTTCTTTGCTATTGAGTTGAATTCCTTGTGTATTCTGGATATTAATCCTTTATCAGATGAACAGTTTCTTCTATTCTATGACAAATACTTTTTTCCCATCCTGCAGGTTGTCTGTTTACTCTATTGAGTATATCCTTTGCCGTGCTGAAGCCTTTAAGTTTGTTATGATCCCATTTGTCCATTTTTGCTTTTGCTGACATTTGTGCTTTTGAGGTCTTATCCATAAAATCTTTGCCCAGACCGTTGTCCTGAAGCATTTCACTTTGTTTTCTTCTAGTAGTTTCATAGTTTCAGGTATTACATTTAAGTTTTAATCCATTTTGAGTTGATTTTTATATATGGTGGGAGATAGGAGTCTAGTTTCTTCATTCTTCTACATATGGATATCCAGTTTTCCCAGTACCATTTACTGGAGAGACTGTCCTTTCCCCAGCCAATGTTATTGGCACCTTTGTTGTGAATCAGTTGGCTGTACATATGTGGATTTATTTCTGGGTTCTCTATTCTATTTCATTAGTCTATGTGTTTGATTTAATGCTAGTATGCTGTTTTGGTTGCTATAGCTTTGTAGTATATCGTGAAGTCAAATAGTGTGATTTATCTAGCTTTTTCTGTTTGTTCAGGATTGCTTTGCCAGTTTGGGCTTTTTTGGTTTCATATGAATTTTAGAATTGTTTTTCCTATTTCTATGAAAAATATCATTAGTATTTAATATGGATTGCATCGAATGTGTAGATTACTTTGGGTGGTATGTTATGTCTCTTTATTCTTCTTTAATGTGGAACAGTTCCTCAGCCTTTGTCTTTCATGACATTGACATTTTTGAAGAATATATTTCAGTTATTTTATAGGATGTTCTTCACTTCATGTTTGTCTAATGTTTCCTCATGATTAGATTCAAATTCAGGTTATGCATTCTCTGCCCCAAATACCACATAAGTAGTGTCCTTCTCAGGATATCACACTTGGGAGACACATGATATAAATTGGCCCTTGGTTAGTAATATTAATTTTGATGACCTAGTCAAGATATTGTCTTGTTTCTGCACTGTATAGTTACTATTTTCCACTGTGCAACTAAGTGGAAGACACTTTAAGACCTCATCAAAGTAGACGTATCATTCGTTGACAATTCTTGCCCAAACCAGAATGGAATCTATCCAGCCCCACCACTCACTCCAAATTAACAATTAGAATTTTAAGTACAGGCCTTCTTTTATATATTTATTTATTTATTTTTGAGACAGAGTTTTGCTCCATTGCCCAGGCTGGAGTGCAGTGGTGCAATCTTGGCTCACTGAAACCTCCGCCTCCCGGGTTCAAGTGATTCTCCTGCCTCACCCTCCGGAGTAGCTGGGATTACAGACACATGCCACCACACCCGGCTAATTTTTGTATTTTTAGTAGAGATATGGTTTCACCACGTTGGCCAGGCTGCTCTCAAACTCCTGACCTCAAGTGATCTACCCGCCTCAGCCTCCCAAAGTGTTGGGATGACAGGCGTGAGCCACCGTGCCTGGCCCTTTTATTTACTTAATCATTAGTATAGACTCATGGATTTAACTGAACTTAATACATTATATATTATTACCATCCTTATTTATTGTGATGCTCAAATTTTCCCAGACTTGGATGATGAGAGCCCCTTTGAGCTGACTTCTGTGTATATTCATGGATAGACTGGAATGGGAGCCATAATTTTTTTTGTTTGAACACTTTATTACTTTCTGGCCCAAGATGCTCCATGCTCATCTGTGCCTGGAATTAGTCATTTCTTCTGTGCCCCAAACCTGGGATTAGTCATTTCTTCAAGGACCCTGCATCCTTTTAGTGGGCAAAGGTATCTGGGAAACCAAAATCTATTAATTGATACTGTGTGCTGGTTCCAACTGAGTGTCATTATTTCTAGTTCCTTTCAACTGACAGAGCTAGGAAATCATCAGTTTATACTGATAATTCCAATTACAAATATATTAAACAACTTGGTACTGTCCCACAGGTCACTTTTTTTCTTTTCAGTCTTTTTCCCTCTTGAATGCTTCTGCTTGAAAGCTTTCTAAAAAATATTTTTTATTTTATTTTATTTATTTTTTGAGACAGAATCTCACTCTGTCGCCCAGGCTGGAGTGCAGTGGCATGATCACAGCTCACTACAGCCTTGACCTCCTGGGCTCAGACAAACCTCCCATCTCAGCCCCCTAAGTAGGTGGTACTACAGGTGTGCACCACCATTTTTCTTTTTTATTTATTATTATTATTTTGAGATAGAGCTTCGCTTTTGTTGCTTAGGGTGGAGTGCAATGGCACGATCTCAGCTTACTGCAACCTCCGCCTCCCGGGTTCAAGCGATTCTCCTGCCTCAGGCTCCCATGTAGCTGAGATTACAGGCATGCGCCACCATGTCAGGCTAATTTTGTATTTTTAGTAGAGACAGGGTTTCTCCATGTTGGTAAGGCTGGTCTCAAACTCCCGACCTCATGATCTGCCCACCTTGGCCTCCCAAAGTGCTGGGATTACAGGCGTGAGCCACCCTGCCCGGCCCATGCTCAGCATTTTTTGTACCTTTTGTAGAGATGGGGATTCGCCATGTTGCCAGACTATTCTCAAACTCCTGGGCTCAAGCAATCTGCTTGCCTTGGTCTCCCAAAGTGCTGGGATTACAGGTATGAGCCACCACGCCTGGCGCTAAAGGCATTTCTGTTGCTATATATTCAGGTTCATGATCTTTACTTTTATAATGTTTAACATGCTAATAATTCTGTGCAGTGAAATGTTTCATTTCAGATACTGTCTTTTTCAGCTCTGAAATTTCCATTTGGCTTTTTCTTTTTATATCTTCCATTTCTCAACTCATTGCGCCTACATTTTCCTTTACATCCTTCAGCATATTTATAAAAGATATTTTAGGCCAGGTGCAGTGGCTCACGCCTGTAATCCTAGCACTTTGGGAGGCTGAGGCAGGCGGATCATGAGGTCAGGAGTTCGAGACCAGCCTGGCTAACACGGTGAAACCCCATCTCTACTAAAAATACAAAAAATTAGCTTGGTGTGACACCTGTAATCCCAGCTACTGGAGAGGCTGAGGCAGGAGAATCGCTTGAACCCAGAGACAGAGGTTGCAGTGAGCCGAGATAGTGCCACTGCACTCCATCCTGGGTGGCAGAGCAAGACTCTGTCTCAAAAAAAAAAACAACATATTTTAAAGGATTTAGCTACTAATTCCATACTTTCTGGGTCTGTTGCAAGTGGACCAATTTTTCTTTGCTTATGGATCACATTTTTCTGCTTCTGTGCATGTTTAGTAATTTTTAATTGGATATTGAAAATTGTGAATTTTTTTTGTTGAGTGCCAGATTTTGTTGTCTTTCCTTAAAGAGAGCTGGATTTATTCTGGTAGGGAGTTGTATCTTTTTTTGAAGCTTCAAATAGCTTTGTATGTTGCTCTGGATTTGTTCCATTGTTTCATTTATCTTCTTCAGGAGACTTCAATTATATGTATATTGTATTCTGTGTGGATGCCTGTTTTCCATTCCCATCACATTCTGTCTGATCCATTTTTTTTTTCTTTCTTTCTTTCTTTTTTTTTTTTTTGAGACAGTCTCGCTATGTCACCCAGGCTGGAGTGCAATGGTGCCATCTAGGCTCCTGGCAACCTCCGCCTCCCAGTTTCAAGTGATCCTCCTACCTCAGCCTCCCAAGTAGCTGGGATTACAGGCATGCACCACCACCTGGCTAATTTTTGTACTTTTAGTGGAGATAGGGTTTCACCATGTTGGCCAGGCTGGTCTCAAACTCCTGACCTCAAGTGATTTTCCCACCTCAGCCTCCCAAATTGCTGGGATTACAGGTGTGAGCCACCATGCCTGGCCTGGGAGGAGACTTTAATCAGTTAAGTATTGTCTTTGAATGTATGATTCTAAGTGGTTTTTAAAATTTATTTTTACTTGCTTGTCTGACTATCCTTGCAAATAGATACTGAAGTATTAGGGCATAAAAGGGCATGATGCATGCAACCTACTCTGAAATGGTTCAGAAAAAATAAACAATAATATGAATATAGATAAGATATATATATGTAGAGGGAATGATAAAACAGGTTTAAATTAGTAAACTTAAGTAAGGGATATAGAGAAGTTCTCTTTATAATTCTTGCAAATTTTCTGGAACTTTGCGATTCTTTCAAAATAAAAGTGAGGCAGGAGAATAGTGCCTGGAGGCAAGGAACCTAAGGTTGTTTCATACCGACTTCCTAAAACTAAATAGAAAGGAAACCCCTCCCTTTGACCTTTTCTGCCTAGCAGATGGGAAATTGGCTGTCTGTAACAAATCAGACTGATTGCTGGTAGAGTCTTCATTTGCAACTTTGTAACTTCACCCTAGCCTCTGATTGCAACCAATCAGATGTTTGCACAGGAGTGTGACCTTTGTTACTTCACTCCAGCCTCTGGTTGGCTGCTTTCTGCAACCAATCAGACTGATTGCGGGCCACCACTTCATTTACGTGAAGCGAGCATGAAGTGGCCAATGGGAAACTTCTAGGGGGTATTTGGACCCAAGAAGATTCGGTATCTGGGCCCTCAAGCCACTGCTTGGGTCCACTCCCACAGTGTGGAGTGTACTTTTGTTTTCAATAAACCCCTGCTTTCATTCTTTTGTTGCTTCATTCTTTCTTTGCTTTGCTCGGCATTTTGTCCAATTCTTTGTTCAAAACACCAAGAACCTGGACAACTTGCAGTCATGGCCCACTACTGGTGACAAAAGCTTAAAAATAGTCTATTCATGACTAAATGCAGAAACCATAACTTGCCTCTTTTGATAATCATCAAATGCTTCTGTAGAACTTAATGATGAGGAACTTATGGGGAGGTGGAGCAAAGGTCATTCTTGCTAGGCTTTAGCAAAGAGACTGTTGGCATTTGCCCCTGCCCAAGAGATCTGTGGAACTTCGAACTTGAGAGAGATGATTTAGGGTATCTGGTGGAAGAAATGTCTAAGAAGCAAGGTGTTCAAGGTATGACCTGGCTTTTTCTGAAAGTGTGCAGTCATCTGTGTTCACAAAAAGGTGATCTGAAATTGGAACTTATGTTTAAAAGGGAAGTAGAGCATAAAAGTTTGGAAAACTTGCAGCCTGACCATGCCATAGAAAAGAAAAACCCATTTTCTGGGGAGAAATTCAAGCCTTCAGCTGCAGAAATTTGCATAAGTAAAGAGAAGCCAAATGTTACTAGCCAAAACAATGGGGAAAATGTCTCCAGAGCATTTTAGAGACCTTCAAGGCAGGCCCTCCCATTACAGGCCTGGAGACCTAGGAGGGAAAAATAGTTTCCTGGGTAGGATCCATGGTCCTGCTTCTCTGTGCAGCCTCGGTGAGAGGTGACAGTGTGCTGGCAGCCCTCACAGCCCTCGCTCGCTCTCGGCGCTTCCTCAGCCTTGGCACCCACTCTAGCCACGCTTCAGGAGCCCTTAAGCCCGCTGCTGCACTGTGGGAGCCCCTTTCTGGGCTGGCCAAGGCCGGAGCCGGCTCCCTCAGCTTGCGGGGAGGTGTGGAGGGAGAGGCGCAGGTGGGAACCAGGGCTGCGCGTGGTGCTTGCGGGCCAGCACGCGTTCCGGGTGGGTGTGGGCTCAGTGGGCCCCGCATTTGGAGTGGCTGGCTGGCCCCGCCGGCCTGGGCAGTGAGGGGCTTAGCACCTGGGCCAGCAGCTGCTGTGCTCAATTTCTCCCCGGGCCTTAGCTGCCTTCCCGCTGGGCAGGGCTCAGGACCTGCAGCCCGCCATGCCTGAGCCTCTCCCCAACTCCATGGGCTCCTGCGCGGCTGGAGCCTCTCTGAGGAGCCCCACCCCCTGCTCCAAGGGCGCCCAGTCCCATCAGCCACCCAAGGGCTGAGTGCGGGTGCATGGCGCGGGACTGGCAGGCAGCTCCACCTGCGGCCCCAGTGCGGGATCCACTGGGTGAAGCCAGCTGGACTCCTGAGTCTGGTGGGGACTTGGAGAACCTTTATGTCTAGCTAAGGGATTGTAAATACACCAATCGGCACTCTGTATCTAGCTCAAGGTTTGTAAACACACCAATCAGCACCCTGGGTCTAGCTCAGGGTTTGTGAATGCACCAATTGACACTCTCTATCTAGCTACTCTGGTGGGGACTTGGAGAACTTTTGTGTTGACACTCTGTACCTAGCTAATCTAGTGGGGACATGGAGAACTTTTGTGTCTAGCTCAGGGATTCTAAATGCACCAATTAGCACCCTGTAAAATGGACCAATCAGCTCTCTGTAAGACCAATCAGCTCTCTGTAAAATGGACCAATCAGCAGGATATGGGTGGGGCCAGATAAGGGAATAAAAGCAGGCTGCCTGAGCCAGCAGTAGCAACTCGCTCTGGTTGCCTTCCATGCTGTGGAAGCTTTGTTCTTTCGCTCTTTGCAATAAATCTTGCTGCTGCTCACTCTTTGGGTCCACACTGCCTTTATGAGATGTAACACTCACTGCGAAGATCTGCAGCTTCACTCCTGAAGCCAGCGAGACCACGAACCCACCAGGAGGAACAAACAACTCCAGACATGCCGCCTTAAAAGCTGTAACACTCACTGCGAAGGTCTGCAGCTTCACTCCTGAACCAGCGAGACCACGAACCCACCAGAAGGAAGAAACTCCGAACACATCCGAATATCAGAAGGAACAAACTCCGGACATGCCGCCTTTAAGAACTGTAACACTCACTGCGAGGGTCTGCAGCTTCATTCTTGAAATCAGTGAGACCAAGAACCCACCAATTCCGGACACATCAGGACATGGTGCCCTGCATCCCAAGTGCTCCAGCTCCAGCTGTGGCTAAAAGAGGACAAGATACAGCTTGGGTCACTGCTTCAGAAGGTGCAAGCCCCAAGCCTTGGTGGCTTTCACATGGTGTTGGGCTTGTGGGTATGCAGAAGACAAGAGCTGAGCTTTGGAAGCCTTGACCTAGGTTTCAGAGGATGTATGGAAATGCATGGATGTCTAGCAGAAGTCTGCTGCAGGGGCAGAGACCTCATGGAGAACTTCTACTAGGAAAACACGGAGTGGAAATGTGAGGTTGTAGTTCCCACAGAGTCCCCACTGGGGCACTGCCTATTGGAGCTGTAAGAAGTGGGCTGGCCCAGTGTGGTGGCTCATGCCTGTATTCCCAGCACTTTGGGAGGCCAAGGCGGGAAGATGAACTGAGGTCAGGAGTTTGAGACCAGCCTGGCCAACATGGCAAAACCACAGCTCTACTAAAAATAGAAAAATTAGCTGGGCATGGTGGTGGGTGCCTGTAATCCCACCTACTCTGGAGGCTGAGGCAGGGAGAATTGCTTGAACCTGGAAGGTAGAGGTTGCAGTGAGCCAATATCATGCCATTGCACTCCAGCATGGGCAACAGAGTGAGACTCCATCTCAAAAAAAAAAAAAAACCAACCAGCCACTGTCCTCCAGATCCATGGAGAAGCTGCAGGCACTCAACGCCAGCCCAGGAAAGCAGCCCTAGGGGCTGTACCCTGCAGAACCACAGGGGCAGAGCTGCCCAAGGACTTGGGAGCCAACCTTTGCATCACTGTGCCCTGGATGTGAGACATGGAGTCAAAGGAGATTATTTTGGAGCTTTAAGATTTAATGAGTGCCCTGCTGGGTTTTGGACTTGCATGGGGCCTGTGGAGCCCCTTTGTTTTGGCCAATTTATACGATTTGGAGCAGGAATATTTACCCAATGCCTGTATCCCCATTACATCTTGGAAGTAACTACTTGCTTTTGATTTTACAGGCTCATAGGCAGAAGGGACTTGCTTTGTCTCAGACTTTGGACTTGCACTTTTGAGTTAATGCTGGAATGAGTTAAGACTTTCGGGGACTGTTGGGAAGGCATGATTGGTTTTGAAATGTGAAAAAGACATGAGATTTGAGAGAGGCCAGGGGTGGAATGATATGGTTTGCCTCTGTGTCCCTACCCAAATCTCATCTTGAATTGTAATCCACATGTGTCAAGGGAGGGGCCCGGTGGGAGGTGACTGGACCATGGGGGCAGTTTCCCCCATGCAGTTCTCATGATAGTGAGTGAGTTCTCACGAGATCTGATTGTTTAAAAGTGTTTGGCAGTTCCTTCCACCTCCTTCTGCCATATAAGATGTGCCTTACTTCCCCTTTGCCTTCCACCATGATTGTATGTTTCCTGAGGCCTCCCTAACCATACGGAACTGTGAGTCAGTTAAACCTCTTTTGTTTATAAGTTGCCCATTCTCAGGTAGTTTATTTCTTTCTTTATCATTATTATTATTTTTTTTTGAGACAGAGTCTTGCTCTGTTGCCCAGGCTGGAGTGCAGTGGCATGATCTCAGCTTACTGCAACCTCTGCCTCCTGGGTTCAAGCAATTCTCCTGCCTCAACCTCCCGAGTAGTTGGGATTACAGGCACCCACCACCACGCCCAGCTAAATTTTTGTATTTCTAGTAGAGACGGGGTTTTACCACGTTGGTCAAGCTGGTCTCGAACTCCTGACCTCAGTGATCTGCCTGCCTCGGCCTCCCAAAGTGGGTAGTTTCTCTATTGCAGTGTGAAAATGGACTAATACACAGAGAAAAGAATTAGATGACTTTAAAACACAGTATTTTGGCCATCCATTCTTAATGGGATATATTATGTAGACAAAAAGAATGCCATAAAATATCAAACTGCATTCAGTAATTAGTCTTATTGGTAGTAGCAACATTGGTATTGTATCGTGAAACTATCGTAATTATTTTTTAGAATATAGCAGATAAGCAATTATGTAAATGTCATTAGGAAACAAAATTTTTAGTGCAGGTTGAGCATCCCTCATCCAGAAATTCAAAATCCGAAATGCTCCAAAATGTGGAACTTTTTGAGGCCAACATGACACCTCAAGTGGAAGATTCTACATCTAACCTCATGTGATGAGTTGTAATCAAAACACAGGCAAAACGGTTTCATGTGCAAAATTATTGAAAATATTGTATAAAATTACTTTCAGGTTTTGTGTATAAGGTATATATGAAACATAAATGAATTTTGTGTTTAGATTTTGGTTGCATCCCCAAGATATTGCTTTACGTATGTGCAAATATTCCAAAATCTGAAAATATCTGAAACACATCTGGTTCCAGGCATTTTGGATAAAGGCTGCTCAACCTGTCAAGAAAAAAAAATTACAAATATAAAATCAAAGAAATTAAGTTAAAACTCTGTAATCTTACATTTGAATTGGAAATATCAGTATGAATTCAAGATTTTTTTCTCTTGAAAAAATTATCGATTTTCCAGCTCTATTAGAAAGACTTAGAAGTAATGACAGCCCAGTGGCAATGAGTACTCCTGATTATGGTTTCTGACTGCCATTTCCTACTTAAAGGAACTGAGGCTCTTTGGAGGAATGACTGATTCCATGTCAGGGGCAGAAAATGCACAAGATAAGTTTGGGCCATTTTGTGCCAGAAAGCAAGAAAACTATCAAAGATTAATGTGACCACATCTACAATACATAGGAACCAACTCAAATAATTTCTCACTGGCCAAAAGTGGGACGATTTGAGCATCAAAAAGAATAATTAATGCACTTCAAATATATGAAAATACATATATTCATGATCATTTTTTTAAAAAAGCTCATTAGAAGTTGCTAGAGCACTAACTCATTATTTTGAAAATTGATAAATGAAAAGAAACGTGGACCCTATCTTTCATCTACAAACTATATTTCAGGATAACCAAAGAGTTAATGAAAAATGTTATGGTAGAATTCCAGCTAATAAATTTAGGAGGAATGTTAGAATTAGAAATTCATTATTTTGCAACGTCTAATGAAATACTGGATTGAGTCACAATTAATGGATGCTAAAATAATCAGGTGATGTTTGATGAAAAACGTAATGTAGGAATCAGGCTGACACCACCTCAACCCATGAGCAATATTTCGTCATTAAAATGCAAGTATCAGACATATGTGCCTCATGATGTGATGTAATAGGAAATACACGGCAACTACCACAAAGTATGCTTACCTAAAATATAGAACCTCAATCTAATAAAAATCCTAAATCTACCTATTTGCAGAAATAGGAGTAATATCACAAGGAAGTAATCAGCTAAATCTAGAATATGGGACATTCCGTAGTACAAATGGCCTAGTTTCTACAGTAAATCTATAGTATGAAGGGTGAGATGCTGGTAAAATTGAGTAAAAGGGACTTAAGAAATATGACAATTTGTGATGGTATTAGGTGGGGCGGGGTGGAGGAAGAAACAACTAAGTGCAATGTATGGACTTGTTTAGATCTTGAATTGAATAAAGCAACTGTAAACAGAATCTTTGATATAATCGAAAAAAATTTAATACTTGGAGGATGATGGATAGTATTGAGATTTTTCTTAATTTTGTGTGATAATGGCATGGTGGATATGATTTTTGAAAGTTCTTATCAGATGTGCATATTGAAGTTGGGATATGCTTTATAATACTTTAGCAAAAAAAGTGGGGGACATAGTAGGGAGGAGGGTAGGGAAGAATTGTCTATCAACAAATGTTGATAATTGTTGAAGCTGATAACTGTTGAACTCATTAGGGCTGAGGTTGATTATACTATTATCTCTCTTTTTGCATATGTTTAACTTTTCCCACAAGAAAATGTTACAGGAAAAATTATTTAGCTTTCTCCAACCTGGGTTGGTATAAGTCACTGATTGTGACTATCCCAAAAGTTGGTTCAACATTAAGGTAATGTTTGTTAGGAAAAAAAATTAGATCGACACGTTATTTAGTATCCCAGGTTTTTGAGCATTTATTTAAAAAATTCGCTATAATGAGAGATGATTATAAATTTTTGTTATATTTCTGAGATGATCAATTTTAACAGGATTGGTGGTAATTTTTCAATCATAAACTGATAAAGTTTGATGACTGATAAATCGCCCCAATATATAGCAAATCTATTCAATTATTTTGTTTTCATAAGGGAACAACCTTGGTGGAAAGTACAGCTGTCTCCATGTACAAGGAGAAGCACATAGCTCACGTGTGCATCTGGCAGAACCCCCAGTACAGAGACAAGCAGGTGCTGTTTTCCAATGACACCTACTTGTGTGTGTCCTAATACTATAGTTAGAAAATGGCTCAGATTTTTGAGTTGCTTTTCCCAGAACTCAAAGATTGTCTTCCTGTTTATCTTGGTGGAATGCCTATGCTATACTTGTGATTTTTCTGTTCTCTGTAACCTATTAAAACAAGATTGTCACAGATGGGGAAACAAGAGGTCATTAGTTAACAATCAGATGTTCGATTTCTTGAGCAGAAAAGATACTCTGTTGTGTTTTTAAAAACATTTTTAAAGGAGAAATAGGGCTACTCCTTGGAAGGCAGATTGTTGTTCAGTGGGCTTTCCTCAAGAGTCAACACAGTCGTTTCTAAATTCATTTCCTCCTTCAATTCTGTTCTTGTAGTTAACATAAGCTTTGCCTCTTTTAGTTCTTGTCAGTTCACAGTGGCTACTTCTTTATAGCTTAACTAAATACTGCCAGAAGAGCAAAGGGAAGCCAAATAGGTGGTCAATTAGCTTTGTCTAAGTTGGTATGATATGGAGAGGAAAGCACTGTTACTTTAATTCATTCTTCAGTTTCTAGAACAGTTGCTTTTGATTAGGTTAGGGGCAGAAAAACATTTGTAATAATTAATGGCTTTGAGAGACACAAGGCTTTGTTTGCCCCAGAGTATTAGTTAACCCACCTAGTGCTCCTAATCATACAATATTAAGGATTGGGAGGGACATTCATTGCCTCACTCTCTATTTGTTTCACCTTCTGTAAAATTGGTAGAATAATAGTACCCACTTCATAGCATTGTATGATGATTAAATTGGTTAATATTTTTAAAATGCTTAGAACACAGATTGGGCACATAACAGCAAGCACCACATGTGTTTATAAGATAAATTCCTTTGTGTTGCCTTCCGTTAAAGTTTAAATAAGTAAATAAATAAATAAATACTTGCATGACATTTTGAAGTCTCTCTATAACATCTGAGTAAGTGGCGGCTGCGACAATGCTACTGGAGTTCCAGAATCGTGTTGGTGACAAGATTGTTCACCAGCATATGGTGTGGTGAAAACTCACTAATTTGGAATTAGTTCAGATTATTAAGCCTGAATAGGTGAAAATCCTGAAATCAAGGATCTTTGGAACTATTTGAAATCAGTATTTTATATTTTCCTGTTGTATTCATTAAAGTGTTGCAAGTGTTCTATTTGATGGATTAAGTATATTTAGGATATACATGTTCAATTTGTGATTTTGTATACTTAATTGGAACAAGAAAGCTAATAAAGGTTTTGATATGGACATCTATTCTTTTAAGTAAACTTCAATGAAAATATATGAGTAGAGCATATAGAGATGTAAATAATTTGTGGACACACCACAGACTGAAATAGCAAATTTAAAAGAAATTGTTGGAAGAATCAAGTGTTTGTGGAATGAGTCCTCCTAGTAAAGTTCCTGCTCTTGTGAATAATTAAGCCTCATGTATAATTACTATAGCAAAAGGAAGCCTAAGAAGTATTAGACTCTACTTGTATTTAAATTACATTTTACATAATTTATGTGTATGAAAAATGTTTTAAATGCTTATTTTCGTAAGCCATGAGATAGCTCCTTTATATTTTAAGAATTTCTGAATTAATTTGCTTGGATTTTATTAGTGCAAATGGCAGAGCTAGCAATTCCTTTTTCTGTGTTCCCATTCCATCCTATTCATCCCTCTTTTAGGAAACTCTGAACTCTGGATTGTCCTTGTTTACATACCTGCCTCCTGCATTGGACTATGTGTCTCTGAGTGTAGTATGACTAATTCATTTGTTTGTCAAGGACTCTCAATGCATTTGTTGAACAGCCTAATTAGTAATGTCTGCAACAATGACATTTTACTGTATTTAATAAAGCTCTGGGAAAGTAGGATACACATAAGACAGGTCTAGGTCTAAATTCTTTACAGAAACTTGGATTTTTAGTTCGGTTTGAAATTTGAAGATGTGAGTATATTTATCTCAGTTTCCCAAAGGACAAGCTAATTGGAATTATCATCCTCTTTCACTTGATTGGATCCCCAGAATGCCATTTACGCATGCAGCAGGATTTTATAACAGTTTTAAATTCTGTATATTTGATGAAGAGGTTTTATATTTTTGGATTCAAGCCTCTTTTTAAACTTCTACAATATGGTTTACAATAATTCCTTATATCCTGCTTTTGAAATACATATTACAACTTTTTAAGTTTGGAAGGCTATATTTCAAGGACTGAAGTTACAGTATACTCAAGTGATACACAAGCCTAGCACCCCACTTTCCACATAGTGTTCGATAAAGATTGATAAACTCGAAATCACAGACCTTTTAATTCTTAAGACAAATAGCAGCAGAAAGAAACATCTTTGGCTTATTTCTGGTAAGGTTTTTATGCTCTGTAAAACAAAGAATTGTATTCATCCGCGCAGCACAGATTCTATTAAAAATAAATGTGAGAGTCGTTAATGTAGTACTGCTCATTTACCATCAAAATTCACTTTTCAGGAATAATCCCATCAGTTTAAATTGGATATTGGAATGAGCATTGATTACATTTAACTTGGTAGCCCAAAATTTCTTCATGGGGTTTTGAACTCGGCGGGATTTCAAAGGTTTTAAAAATGAGTTTTTGATTTTTTTTAAAACCCTCAAATTTCATTACCTTTAAACTAGGTCGAAACGGGGCGCAAGAGATTGGATTAACACCATAGTAATACTTATTTTGTTCTTAACCATTTCAGGGCTTCTTGAAATAGAGGCTGTATGGTGTAATGGAAAAAACAGCCTTGGAATCTGGGAGCCTGATTCCTGGATTCAGTCCCAGTTTTGCGTGACCTTGGGCAAGTTACTTTACTTCTCTGAATTTCCGTTTCCTCCTCTGCAAAATGAGGATCGCAATAGCCACCTTGCAACCTTGACTGGAGCGAGCCTCGCACACCCCGCGCCGGCCTGGAGGAAGAGCAGCCATGATTACGCCGCCTTCGCTCCGCTACCCGCTTGCGGCTGGCGCCCTCCTCCAGCAGGTGTAGGCGCTGCCGCGCTGCCCCACGCCTTTCCGCCGCTCGCGGGCCTGCGCCTCGGCGTCCCCGAGGAGGCCGCTGCGGGCTGAGGTAGCGCACCGGCCTCTCGGCGTCCCAGTCCGGTCCCGGGCGGAGGGAAAGCGGGCGACCCACCTCCGAGGCAGAAGCCGAGGCCCGGCCCCGCCGAGTGCGGAGGAGCGCAGGCAGCCCCCGCCCCTCGGCCCTCCCCCCGGCCCTCCCGGCCCTCCCTCCGCCCCCTCCGCCCTCGCGCGCCGCCCGCCCGGGTCGCCGCGGGGCCGTGGTGTACGTGCAGAGCGCGCAGAGCGAGTGGCGCCCGTATGCCCTGCGCTCCTCCACAGCCTGGGCCGGGCCGCCCGGGACGCTGAGGCGGCGGCGGCGGCCGAGGGGGCCGGTCTTGCGCTCCCCAGGCCCGCGCGCCTGAGCCCAGGTTGCCATTCGCCGCACAGGCCCTATTCTCTCAGCCCTCGGCGGCGATGAGGCGCTGAGGCGGCTGCCGGCGCTGCGCCGGAGCTTAGGACTCGGAAGCGGCCGGGCCGAGGGCGTGGGGTGCCGGCCTCCCTGAGGCGAGGGTAGCGGGTGCATGGCGCAGTAACGGCCCCTATCTCTCTCCCCGCTCCCCAGCCTCGGGCGAGGCCGTCCGGCCGCTACCCCTCCTGCTCGGCCGCCGCAGTCGCCGTCGCCGCCGCCGCCGCCGCCATGGCCAATGACAGCGGCGGGCCCGGCGGGCCGAGCCCGAGCGAGCGAGACCGGCAGTACTGCGAGCTGTGCGGGAAGATGGAGAACCTGCTGCGCTGCAGCCGCTGCCGCAGCTCCTTCTACTGCTGCAAGGAGCACCAGCGTCAGGACTGGAAGAAGCACAAGCTCGTGTGCCAGGGCAGCGAGGGCGCCCTCGGCCACGGAGTGGGCCCACACCAGCATTCCGGCCCCGCGCCGCCGGCTGCAGTGCCGCCGCCCAGGGCCGGGGCCCGGGAGCCCAGGAAGGCAGCGGCGCGCCGGGACAACGCCTCCGGGGACGCGGCCAAGGGAAAAGTAAAGGCCAAGCCCCCGGCCGACCCAGCGGCGGCCGCGTCGCCGTGTCGTGCGGCCGCCGGCGGCCAGGGCTCGGCGGTGGCTGCCGAAGCCGAGCCCGGCAAGGAGGAGCCGCCGGCCCGCTCATCGCTGTTCCAGGAGAAGGCGAACCTGTACCCCCCAAGCAACACGCCCGGGGATGCGCTGAGCCCCGGCGGCGGCCTGCGGCCCAACGGGCAGACGAAGCCCCTGCCGGCGCTGAAGCTGGCGCTCGAGTACATCGTGCCGTGCATGAACAAGCACGGCATCTGTGTGGTGGACGACTTCCTCGGCAAGGAGACCGGACAGCAGATCGGCGACGAGGTGCGCGCCCTGCACGACACCGGGAAGTTCACGGACGGGCAGCTGGTCAGCCAGAAGAGTGACTCGTCCAAGGACATCCGAGGCGATAAGATCACCTGGATCGAGGGCAAGGAGCCCGGCTGCGAAACCATTGGGCTGCTCATGAGCAGCATGGACGACCTGATACGCCACTGTAACGGGAAGCTGGGCAGCTACAAAATCAATGGCCGGACGAAAGTAAGTGTGTGCTGCGGGTTTGTGCTGGACAGGCCCTTCTCGGCGGGCAGCCCCTGCCTGCGACTGAAACTGCCTAGGCTGAGAAGCAGCATTCCTCTATATAGAAGGGACTCGCTCTTTCTTGTGTAGCTCCCCGTAAGGAAGACGGACAGAATTTGTAGTAGCTGTTTATCTAGTTAGCCCCTTTGTATCCACTGTTTTCCACTTACTGCCCGTTCACAAACTTCTCCGGCTAATTGCATGGTTTTTTGACTCAACGTAGGCGCTTTAACTTTCCTATTTTCTTTTTTCCATTCCACTATTGGTCACAATTCAAACCTTAGTGGCGTTTTAGCCACCCAGTGAAGGGGTGTTAGAGTACCACCCAAAGCAAGTCCTGGTTCTGCATCTGCCTTGTGTTTGCATAAGCTGTTAAATTTCCTATGGTGTCTGAACCACTCATCACATTTCGATTGAGAGTCAAACGCTGTGTTCAGTTAGGAATTTGCCGGCTGACCGCAAAAAGGTACATTTAAAATAAGCATTTAGTCGAAAGACTCTGTATTCAGGAAGAGCTTGGCTACTCCCCTCCCCCTGTTATAGCTCTTATCCCTCACCCTGTTCCTACTGTTTTGAAACCCGTTACAAAAAGGGGAAAGAAGTATTTCCGTCTTCAGGCCTCTCAGTGTAGGTAGGCTACATTTTTAGCACCAGTTTCCTTTATTTGCTTTGTTAATGTAATCCTTCTGTTGAAAACTGTTTTGTAACTTCCTGGAAAACAAAACAAAACAAAACAACAACACGGAATTGGCGCAGGAGGGCTCGTTTTATCCTCCCAATTTGGTGAGATCTTTTTGTTTTCTCTTTACTATTGCGGTTTTTCCTCCACAGATTTCTTCACTTCTTACCTAGTCTATTCCCTCTTTCCTCCCTCATGATAAACAGTAGACTCTTTCGTCCTTAACCAACTCTCTTGCAGCTCTTTTTCATTTTACTTCTCAGATCTTGATCTTTTCTTTGTGGCTGCTCCCAGGCCACCCTCCTCCACCATCAGTCTCTGATTTTGTGGGTTTTGAGAGATTGACCTGGGAGAGCATCACAGTTGCATGTTTGTACACACACGCTGACTCTAACTAGTGGTTTTTCTGTATGTGTGTGTCAGATCATCTACTTTGACAGTCATTACATGTGATTCTCAGGCTGCCCGAAAGACTGAACATAGGCAGTGAGAAAGTTATAAACGTGAACATTTTGTGGGGAAAAATACAATGTGGAGTCTAATTTACCTATTGCCACTTCATTGCTGGATGAAGGCACAAGTCTTAATTTCTTGTAGTCTTAAAAAGGAACAGTTGAATAATATTAAACTGGAAGGAAAAGGGGGATCTGATGAAATTTCAGCGTTGGTCTTTCACTAGATTTTCATTGATAAAATTTTTAAGAAAGTTGTCAGGGCACAACTTTAAGAAATTGTCACATCTGAACATAAAGTCCTGAGCTCCAGAGCAGGAAAGAAATTAGTTTGAGACAATAGGGCTGTGAAGACTGACCAAAGTATATAGTTGGGACATAAGCTTAAATTGGATTCTTGAAGAAGATGATGTCCCAAATCTTTCTTGATCTGCTTTCCTTAGTTAATTTAGCTTTCCAAGTTAAGCTGAGACCTCTTTTCTCTTTTGTCTTCCTGCTTTCACCTGTCCTTAGAGAAGGGACAGCAGACAGCCTGGCTCTTAGAGCAAATGCTTCTCATAGAGATGCTATTAGGAAATAGGTACCTCCTTCCTCAAGAGTTCTAGTTGTTGGGGTTTTAAGTCACGTAACTGTACATATTAGCAGGTAATAAGGGACAGGATGAAGGAGGGATGACCTTTAAACTCTTTGGATTTGATCTGCTTATATTAATTTTAGGGACGCAACTTCAGGATCTATAAATGATATTCAGGAATTCCTTTCATTGTACTTCTTGGCTGAAAGAGGTTTTGGTAATCGTGTTTGAACATGTAATTTATTCCTAAAAAACAAGGGTGTTTGCTTTGTGGAAATGAGAAGGCAATCAAAATAACCACCCACCGTATATTGAGCAACCAACCACAGTGTGTTAGGCATCATATTAGGATCAATACAGATACAATCAGAGTATTTTTTTTTTTTTTTTTGGAGACAGGGTCTTGCTTTGTTGCCCTGGCTGGAGTACAAGGGTGTAAGCATGGCCCACTGCAGCTTCCACCTCCTGGACTCAAGCTATCCTGCCATCTCAGCTTCCGAGTAGCTGGGACTGTAGGCACACACCACCATACTTGGCCAAATGAAAAAAAATTTTTTTTGTAGAGTCAGGGTCTTGCTGATCATTTGATCTCGAACTCCTCGGCTCAGGGGATCCTCCTGCCTTGTCCTCCCAAAGTACTGTGGTTACAGACTTGAACCACCTCACCTGGCCACAATAATCTTAATTCTGTGAAGTGAGTAGTGTT
This sequence comes from Homo sapiens, assembly GCF_000001405.40. Lineage (NCBI taxonomy): Eukaryota > Metazoa > Chordata > Mammalia > Primates > Hominidae > Homo > Homo sapiens. The sequence continues at coordinate 231,418,547 of NC_000001.11, read as the reverse complement.
ATTCCTAATTTACATTTGAGGGATTTTCAGCTCAGACTTGGCAGAGGTCTACCACTTACTATAACCCTGGCTGGTGTTCAAACTTAAGTCATTCAGATATCAAACCCATGCTCTTTTTTAACTACGCTAGTTATAGGTAGAACATTAAATGAGATGTAGATTATTTAGCACACTGCTGGAACTGCAATTTGATACATATATTTTGTTGAAAGTGGGTGAATAGCACTAGCTTTATATGTGAGTAATCATACTCTATGGTTGGGCTGTGTAAAACTTTTTATTAGGTGACTGTACAATGTTTATTTCAGATAGTGGCTTAAAAGCCACTTTTGTATTTATCCACCTGAATTATGCGCCTGTCAGTATACTGTTAACAGATGTCAGAATATGGTTTTTTTATGTGATTGCAGAGGGAGACTTCAATTCAGAATTTTATCCTTCATAACATTATAGTGATTTTAAAAGTTATATGCAGCAAATGTGTAGTATTTTTCTCATTTCAACTTTCACAGCAGTAGGCAGGTGGTTGTATCCCTTTTTTTATAGATTAGAAAAGTGGGACTCAGGAAAAGTTAGTTCACTTGTTGGAAATTCTGCAGCATATTAGGACTTAAATTCAGGTTTTCTGACTAAGAATCTGATGTTCTTTTTTATTTACATCATGTATATTGCATGCTCTTTATGTCAGGGCATGGTAATCAGATGATACATGATAGTCTGTGGCCCATTCAGTGTAGGCTTTGTTTTCCCCTGAATTTCTACTTCAAACATGCTTATCTGGCCGCTGTTTATGCAACTACTTTAAAAAAGGAACCATAAGGGAAAAATGAAGTCATACAGGAGAAAAACAGAAATGTAATTGTAGCCACTGATACAACCAAGCTCCTGTTTCCACTTTCTCTGGTCTTTTTGGGATTTTCTCCTTTTTGCCGTTACCCTGCCCTTTGATCCTATGTCCTTGCTTATGCTTGTTTTCATCAAGAAGAGTCTCAATGATATGCAGTAGAAAGAAACCATGGTCTGCTGTTTTGTGAAGAGTAGTGTGCCTTGACTTGGGGGTACAGGAGGAAGAGGAATGCAGAGGAGTGAGGATCATGGGAAAATGTTGAACTTTTCTGTTGGAGTTTCTTCGCCACTATGAAGGAAAACATTTTCCCATTAAAATAGAAATACTAGAATCATATACATAACATTTTTGGAATTTAATCCAAAACTTCATCTGTTCCGTTAAAACATACATAAAGAAAAGGAGTAATAAAATAGGTTGGGACTAATAAGCAGCAGATTATATTACTAAGATTTTTCACTATTACTGTAGTTAATTAGTTAGGTCTGGCTGATTATGGCTTTTAGAGCAAAGAATAGGATGAGGAAAATGCAGCTGTTTTATTATCACTAACAGAGATGTGGTGAACAATCCTCTTAGATGTTAAAAACGAAACTGACCCAGGAAGAGAGCCCTCATCAGTACCAGACCATGCTGGCATCCTGATCTCAGACTTTCAGCTTGTAGAACTGTGAGAAAATAAACTTATGTTATTTAAACCTAAATACATAAGTACACCTTTATCTCCTTTTTCCATTCTCTTTGTATGCTTGGGATCCAGGATACACAAATTGAAGTTACTTGTTTAATGATTTTATAACTATGTCAGAATTTAAGTTAAAAGTGAGTTACTCTGTATGTAGAAAGGCTGAAAATAGTACAACTGCAGTAATTCTGTCAGCTATAAGGGACGTGTGGACTGAGAGGGTAGTCTTAATAGATTGTGATCAACTATATGTGAAAACATTTTGTGTAGTGAGTTGATGTGTAGTTTACATGTAAACTAACTCCTTTAGTTCGAAAGGAATTTTATTTTACGTTAAAAGATTATTTTAGGCTGGGCTTTAGTGGCTCACGCCTATAATCCCAGCATTTTGAGGGGCTGAGGCAGGAGGATCGCTTGAGCCCAGGAGTTCAAGACTGGCTTGGGCAAATGGTGAGACTTTGTCTCTAAAAAAATTAAAAAATTAGCCAGGCATGGTGGTGCGAGCCCATGGTCTCAGGTGGGATGATTGCTTGAGCCCAGGTGATAGAACAAAACCCTATCTCAAAAAAAAAAAAAAAATTTTTTTTTTGTATGTATGTAACTCTTTACTTATCTACTACCTAATAATCCACAAAAATACCCACAAATCCTTAATTACGTGGAGGAGGAGGAGATGATAATAGAGATCATTTTAACTTTGAAAGATAATGGATTCCGGGCCAGATGTGGTAACTCACCCCTGTAATTCCCAACACTCTGGGAGGCTGAGGTGGGACGATAGCTTGAGTCCAGGAATTCAAGACCAGCCTGGGCAACATGGCAATACCTCATCTCTATTAAAAAAAAAATTATTAAGAAAGAAAGGGGCCAGGTGCGGTGGCTCACGCCTGTTACCCCAGCACTTTGGGAGGCTGAGGCGGGTGGATCACAAGGTCGAGGGATTGAGACCATCCTGGCCAACCAACATGGTGAAACCCTGTCTTTACTAAAAATACAAAAATAAGCTGGGTGTAGTGTTGCATGCCTTTTAGTCCCAGCTACTTGGGAGGCTGAGGTAGGAGAATCGCTTGAACCCGGCAGGCAGAGATTGCAGTGAGCCGGGATTGTGCCACTGCACTCCAGCCCGGGCGACAGAGCGAGACTCCGTCTCAAAAAAAAAAAAAAGAAAGATAATGGATTTGGTTCTGCCATTAGATCTGGGTTGGATCCTGGGTCTGCTATGGTTTCTGTATCCTTAGTCCAGTTTCTTAATTTCTTGAGTCGTCAGTTGCTCCGTTTATAAAATGGTGTTCAGTGATACCTGTGTTTTTAGCTTCTCAGGCTTGTTGTGAGGTGAACATATAATGTTTCATGTAAAGCACCTTTTAGATGGTAAAGCGCTATGCAGAACTGTTCTTAACTATTACTTCTCCCATTTAAAAAATTTGCTATCTTTCTGATTCTTTTAAGAATTCTGTGCTTTCCCTGTCTCATTCCCCTCCGATAAACTGGAGAAAAAAGGGCTTAGAATGATCACCCATTTTTTTACCTAACCACTTTTCCTGCATTTACACATTTTTTTTTAAAAGAGAAGAAATAACATTTTTTTAAGAGAAAAAAGTCCCAGAGAGATTAACTTCTTCAAGGTCATAGAGCTGGTGACAAAATCAACAGACCTTTGATTTAGTTCATTCATATCTGTAACTTTATACATATTTCTACTTAACTAATTTTGGCATATTTTACGCTTTTTTTTTTTTTTTTTTAAAGGACAGGGCCTAACATGCCCAGGCTGGAGTGCAGTGGTGCAATTATGGCTTACTGCAGCCTCCAGCTCCTGGGCTCAAACAATCCTCCCACTTGAGTCTCCGTAGTAGCTGGGACTACAGGCATGTGTCACCACACCTGGATAATTTCTTAAATTTTTTTGTAGAGACGGGATCTCGTTATGTTGTCTAGGCTGGTCTAGAACTGTTGGCCTCAAATGATCCTCCTGCCTTGGTCTCCCAAAGTGCTGGCTCATGCCTGTAATCCTAGCACTTTGGGAGGCCAGGGTGGGCGGATTTGCTTGAGCCCAGGAGTTCCAGACCAGGGGGCAACGTGGTGAAACCCATCTCTAAAAACAATACAAAAATTAACCAGGCATGGTGGCACATGTCTGTAGTCCCAGCTTCTTGAGGGGCTGAGGTGGGAGGATCGCTTGAGCCTGGGAGGTAGAGGTTGCAGTGAGCTGTGATTGCACCACTGCACTTCATCCAGCCTGGGTGACAGCGAGAGCCTGTCTCAAAAAAAAAAAAAAAAAAGTGCTGGGATTACAGGTATGAGCCATCGCACTGGGCCTCTGCCATTTTTGAGAATATGCTTGAACATTCGAGACTTTCTTCTCCCTTTTGCTTCTGTCATTCTACATGTTGGCTTATCTGACATTCTAGTTTAAATTTTTCTCCTACCTAATTTTCTTAAATGTTCTTTATCCATCTGTCTTTCCTCTGATACTATTTAAAGCCGTTTGCCCTGAAGTAGGCCTACCCTCTCTTGTTTCTTTAGTAGGAGCTGTCTTCCCACTCTGTGTTTCTGAGTGACAGTTTACTCCTGTTTTCCTTTCCCTTTTCTCTCCCATCAGGCTTGAAATCTTTGTTCTTCTTCCATGTTTTCTGAAGCCTGTGCCTTTCTGATATGCCTTTGGATTGATGTTGTCAGCTTAGTTGTTTTTGTTTAATTTTTCACTTTAGGCCTTTAAAGCTACCCCAACTATTTCAGTCTCCCTTTTATTCTAGCACATTCTTGGGCAGTTTCTTTTTCTTAGATTTTACTTCTGTGCTTACATTCCACCTTCTTTTCCACTGTGCCCTCGTTTCCACACTTGGAACATTGTCTGTGACTACATGATGGCATTCAGATAATTTACTAAGTCCATTTTCAGAGCTTGTCTTTGCCTTTTATTTCAGCTAAATCTCTTCTAAAAAAAAATTGATATAGATGGTTAACCAAAATCTTCTCTTACAACAGTTTATTTCATGCCTTATTTCGTAGTCAAAACTCAACTTTTCTGCCACCTTTGTACTTCATAATCACATTTTTCCATAACCAATTCAGAATTAGTTTCATTTCTGAAGAGCTTGGACAGTGTCTGTTGACTTGAGATCCCCATAAAGTTTTCATGAGTTTGGAATTCTCTTTTTTCTTATTCAGTGTTCCAGGTCCCATTTCTTTACCAAAGCAAAATACGTGTACTCTTTACCCTTTGTTATATTTTCTGAGTCCTGTTTTGATACTATTTTCACTCATTTGTTCATTCAACAAATGTTGAGTACCCTGCACATACAGGCCCTGTTCTAGGAGCTAGGGTGTCCTGAATAACAACAAAAAGCCCCCCTTCTCATGGACCTTATCTTCTAGTTGGAGGAAGTGTGGGGTGGGGAGGGACAGTCAATAAACAGATGTACAAGTAATACATGGCACGTTAGGTGGTAAATATTAAGATGGAGAATAAGATAAGGACAGAGTGACTAGGGAGTACTCTTTTAGATAAGATTGGTAAAATAAGGTGACATTTAAATAGTGACTTGAATGAAGTGGGAAATTAGTTATGTGGATATGTGGAAGAGGAGCATTTTCAGGAATGGTATTAAATAGCAAATACAGAGGCCCTAACTTGAAATGTGTTTGGTGTGTTCAGAAAACAGCAAGCACGGCACTTTGGGAGGTCGAGGTGGGCGGATCACTTGAGGTCAGGAGTTCGAGACCAGCCTGGCCAACATGGTGAAACCTCACCTCTACTAAAAATACAAAAATTAGCCAGGCGTGATGACATCCGCCTGTAGTCCCAGCTACTCTGGAGGCTGAGGCAGGAGAATTACTTGAACCCAGGAGGTGGAGCTTGCAGTGAGCCAAGATGATGCCACCGCACTCCAACCTGGGCAGCAGCGTGAGACTCTGTCTCAAAAAAAGAAACAGAAAACAGCAAGGAAACCACTGTGGTTTTAGTGGAAGGAGTAAAGGATATGTGATTGATGTAGTAGGATAGGAAATGAGATCAGTTTGTGTAGGATATATTCTGGATATATTTTGAAAGTAGAATCAAATGAGATTTGCTGATACATTAGATGTGGGGTATGAAAGAATGGAAGAGTCATGAATGACTTAAAGGGTTTTGGCTTGAGCGATTGGAAGGAAATTATTGTTTTATTTTGACCTAAGTCTTCTGCTTTTCTTCTCTTGCCCCCACTTTTTCAGTGTTGCCATTTATGATAGCTTGCTGACACTTACTTCCCAGCCAAGCAACAAGAAAAAAGTTATATGTTCTATATTTTCACATTCCTTCAAATTGGCTGTGCTAGCTACTACTACTGTTGACCTTCTAGCCCCATCCTTTCTTCTCTAGAGGTTTTAAGGTTTCTCTGTGCAGTATGCTTGTATCAGCTCTACCAGTGGAACCGCCTTCAGGAATTATTGCAGGAAACCTTGCAACACTTTTAGTGTTGTCTATAAGTATGTCTGTGCTTCCTTGCATGAACCACTCATTCAAGATGGCTTGTGAATCCACGTAAAAAGAAATATACGAAGTTTGAACTTTAGGGGAACATTAGAGAAAATTGAATGGTTCAACATAAGGGAAGCATAGATTTAGATTCAATGTCAAAATGAAGTCAGAAATAAAACATCTTCATTTAAACCTACTGTTGAAAATAAAACTGTTACAGAAAATTGGGAAGAATGGAATTACCGTAAAATATCAAAAATAGTTCCACTGACTTATCAATACATGACTGTATGATACACATGACTATATGATAGCTTCCTAAAGTAGTGAAGAAGAAGAAAGTTACTGATAGCTTAGGGACTGTATTGGATGATCTGTGAAGATATCAGTGTTGTATGAGCCTTTCATCCCTTTGATGTGGAGCCTGGCATTGGAATTGCAAATAAAAGTACCAAATATAAAATAATACTGGTACTATTAAAATTAGAATATACTATCCAGGCCTTTTTTTTTTTTTTTTTTTTTTTTTTTTTTTTTTTTTTGAGATGGAGTCTCACTCTGTCACCCAGGCTGTAGTGCAATGGCGTGGTCTTGGTTCACTGCAACCTCTGCCTGCAACCTCTGCCTTCTGGGTTCAAGTGATTCTCCTCCCTCAGCCTCCTGAGTAGCTGGGACTACAGGTGCCCACCACCACACCTGGCTAATTTTTTTGTATGTTTAGTAGAGACAGGGTTTCATTATGTTGGCCGGGCTGATCTTGAACTCCTGACCTCGTGATCCGCCCACCTAGGCCTCCCAAAGTGCTGGGATTACAGGCATGAGCCACTGTGCCCGGCCTACTATCCAGGACTTTTGAGCATAGGAAGCCTTGCTTTTGATTCTAAAGTGAGAGAGGGTCACAAAAGTATGGGTAAACATTAGATTGTCAGGTATGAAATAATTTTTAAAAATTAAAACCAGAAACATGAAACATGAACTCCAGAACCCAGGAAGCTGTAATCTCATCTCAATTCAGTTTAAGGCTAATTTTTATGTAATAACACCTTAATAGGAAATGTCAAATCTAAGAAGTAAATTGAAAAGGACTAATCATAAGTTTGGGGAATAAAAAGATTGACCATTGTGTTTGTCTGTTTTCACACTGCTGTGAAGACCTGAGACTGGGTAATTTATAAAGAAAAGCAGTTTAATTGACTCACAGTTCCACATGGCTGGGGAGGCCTCAGGAAACTTACAATTATGGCAGAAGGCAAAAGGGAAGCAAGGCATGTCTTACGTGACAGAAGGAGGCGGGGAGAATTGTCAAACACTTTTAACATAAGATCTCATGAGAACTCACTATCATGAGAACAGCATGAGGGAAACTGTCACCATGATCCAGTCACCTCCCACCAGGTCCCTCCCCTGACAATGGGGATTATAATTCAATATGAGATTTGGGTGAGGAGACAGAGCCAAACCATATTAACCATCTCTCTGAATTTTTTCTTATTAATATTGATATTTCCAATTTTCCTCTATAAATGGTGACTAGGAGCTTGGCTTCTATAGTTTTGTTATATAATTACCCTTTAATTCTATCTCAAGGCATATTTTACCTGTGTGATGTCTTCTACCAATTTCTGTTAGGTCTACTCTGAAATGGATGCCTTGAAAATTGCTTTTTAGCTAAAAAATTTAGTGATTCCCCGCCCCCCACCCCTTAGACCAGATATTTTTACTGCTGCAATAGCTCTATTAACCACCCCACCTTTAAAATCTTTGGCTACCCATTTACTAGCCTGGGTCTTATCCTTTCAGTTGTTTTTTCTTATATTTTTCAGTTTTCTTTTTTTCCTCAACTTACAATGGTAGTTTTTTTTCCTAAAGTTCAGTTCACTTTCTGTTCATGACTGTCAGAAGATGTGTATGTAGAAGGAACTTGAACATCTATATTTCTAGATTTTTCTTCTTAGTTTGTAGTAGTCATTTATTGCTACATAACAGATTACTCCAAAGTTTAGCAGCTTAAAACAACACACATTTGTTATGTCATACTTTCTGTAGACAAGGAATTGGGCACAGTCTAGCTACATCTTCTGCCTCACTATTTCTCACAGGCTGCAGTCAGGACATTGGTCAGGGTGTGTGGTCTCCTTCTAAGGCTTGAATGGGGAGGGATCTGCTTCTAGCCTCACTCAGTGGTTATTGGCACCATTAAGTTCTTGGCAGGTTGTTGGACTGAGGGCTTCAGTTTCTTGCCACGTGGGCTTCCCTAACATGACAGCTTTCTTCAATAAAGTATGCAAGCCAAAAAGGCAATAGTGTCTGCTGGCAAGACTGAAGTCCCAGTCTTGTAATCTGATGATGGAAGTGACATCCCATCACTTGTGCTGTATTCTTTTGCAAGAAGCAAGTCATTAGGTGACTTTCCATTCCATATGTGTGAGGAATCATACAAGAATATAAATACCAGTTCTTACGTCAGTTCTTCCTTGGCAGTGTCTGCCCCTTAAATGTTACTATTCTTTATGATCTGTGGTTTGTCTTCTCTTTTTTTCCCTCTAGTCTACACTTTTTTTCCCCCTGGGTTATCTTATGCGCTCATGGAAGCACAAGTTCTTAAACTAGTTTGCCTGTGTTGAAGCTCTTCTGCTACTTAATTGCTCTCTGATTTTAGACACATTTTCTAACCTAAAGCATTAATTTCCTCATCAGTATGATAGGAGTTAATAACAGTACTTAATCCAATAGGTCTATTTGAGGACAGGTGAGAAAATAAAGAAATACTCAACAGATAATCAGTGCTCAATTAGTATTAGCTGTAACTGTAACAAATAATAGTAATAACAACAATCATGACTTCAGCTATTAGGATTTGTTAAAGATTCCTTCGTCTGTCTCTTACTTTGGCATCTGTAGAGGACTGACAGACATTTCTACCTGAATTTTCTGGAAGTATTGCAAACTCAATGTGATTAAGACTGAAGTTTCCTCTTGTTGGAAGGAATGAGGATTGGTAAGCCTGTCTGATGGGGGAGATGGAGGAACAGATTTAAAATTGATCCTGTGAACTTCATTTAGTTATTCAACAGCTATTTACTGAGTGTCTGATCTGTGTTAGGCACTGAAGGTACCACAGTGCCCAGGTCAAAGTAATTCTCTCTGCCTTTCTGGAGTCTTAACTGTGTGAGGGAAATACAATGTTGAACCTGTAATTCCCAGTGCTATGTTTATGAGATGGAAGTACAGGATCCTATTGGGATCACACAAGAGGAGACCTAACTTGGTCTGCAGGCCAGGAGAGGTTTTTTTTTGTTTTTTTTTTTTTTTAAGAAATTAGGCTAAGACTTCTAAAGGTTAAGTTGGAGTTAAGTCTATTGAAAGTCTCCAAGTCTGGAAACAGCATGATGTTTTAGAAGAACATACTTTCCTTTATCAGTTTGAAAATTTTGCTTATTTAAAACTAATTTCCTATTAGTCTCTTGTTCCTCATTCCCATTTACACTCTTCATTGCTGTCCTGGATTATTACAAAAGCCTGTTTGTTTGTTTTTTTTCTTTTTGTATCTTTCTAGTTCATTCTGTCCATTGCTACTTTTTTATAAAGAACATTTCACTACCATATACTTTCTGTTCCAGCCACAGGAACCTGTTTGCAGGTCCCTGAACCTACCTTCATTTTCTAGTGCTGTGCATTTCCTCATTTCTTTCGTTTGGAAAGTGGTGAGAAGGTCCTCTAACTTGCTTCTTGCCCTCATTTCTCTAAGCAGAGCTACAACTTTGTCCTGTCTGTTCCTCTGGCACTTCCCATCACCGTGATAGCATACTTCACTGTGGCTGGTTTCCATTCCCATTTCCTCTACTATAGTGAGCCACTTGAGGCGAGAACCCTTGTATTTCCAACATTGGTGTACTCAGCATCTTGCGTCGAGGACTCAGTAAGTATTATATTTGAATTCCCACTGCACCGCTCTAATTAGAATTTTAAAAATCACTTTCTATCTGGATTGTTACACACTTTTTTTCCCCTTAATTCATTTTTCTCCATGTACTACCCATATGCATCCTATATAAATTTACCAACACTCATAAAAATCTTACTCAGAAATCTTCAGAGGTTTGCTAAGGATACAATTTGATTCTTACACATTTAATGCTCACCAGCTGCTTAGGCCCACACCATTTATCCACCCTGATTTGCTACTGCTCTTTGAAATACAACCAGTGTTTCAGCCAGACTGTTTTCCTGCTTCTGCTCCCCTTCTCCTCCTCCCAGCACATCTGTGAATTCTTTGACTGGTTTACCACTCCCACACTCCTCCCCAGCAATGCAGATCTTCTACACCCTTTAGGATCTAAGCTAAGTCTGCTTCCCAGATATCCTCCCGAACTCTGAATGTCCTTTGATCTCTCTTTTCTCAAAAACCTTTTATACCTTTTATTCCCAAATTATCTTCTCTAGAAATCTGTAAGGGCAGGGGAAGGAAAGGTTTTATACTATTCTGTCTTCGGCAGAGGACTTTTATTATTGCTTGTTACGTACAGTATTAGTCATATCTTGCTAACACTCAGTGAACTGCCCTCAGCTGATCCTCTGCCCTGTACCTCACCTCTGCTTTACCACCTTTCCATCCGATTTCTAAAACTGTAGTGGGACTTTTTAAAAAGTGTGTGAGAGTTTTAATCCTGTTGTGGTAAACTCGCCTTTCTTTGCTTGCTATACTGTTTCTAGTCCCTATTTTCCAGATAAAAATAGCCCAGGTCAGCATGGCTTGCACTATTTTTAACTCCAGGTACTAGGAGAAAGGTTTGCTCTAAAGGTGAAATGAAGTTTTATGACGTTGCTTAGGCCAAAAGTCAGTTGATGAGGTTATGAACTGCAATAGAACTTTACACATCCATGAATCTAATGGAGAGGGCCTGCATATCTTATGTCCCTCACCCCTACCAATGGTGTGTGAATCCTTCAAAACAAAACAGCATAATAGACATAATGTTGAAAGTGACTTCTTTATATACCCTTTTTATAAGACCTAGAAGAAAAAAGCTTGTAGCTAGAAAGCAGATGCAAAGTTCAACATTGATACCACGTTGATGTGCAGAGTAAAATTTTCAAGAGCAAAATTTTAAGCTTCTAAAATTATCATGGATTTGATTTGGTTTTCGAACTGTAATTTACTCAAAATGTCAATTACGTGGAAGGAGGTTTAAGAGTTGTATTTAACAAAAGAGGGCATGAGTTAATTAAGTTGAGAAATATTTCTTTTATGATGAGAAAACCTTTTGGCCTTAACCACATTTCTAGATTCAAGGATTTAATCAACGTGGGAGAAGCAGTTGCTTTAACTAGATTAAAAGAGGGCCATGGTGGAGTGTAGATAAATAGAAATCTGGCAGTGTAAAGGTCATTTGAATCTGGTTTTCTCACACATTCAAACATTTTTATCCTTAAAACAAAAATGGCAGTTTGACCTGCCAGTTTTGCTTAGTTTTGATGCTTAAAATGTATTTTTATTCTCTGATTACAGAGTTGGTAAGGAAAGTAGCCTAAGAAATATTTACCACAGATGATTTATGTGCAAAGAGTGGTTGTAGTTTTGGGTGGTTACAACCCAAAGTATTTTGGAATAAAATGTCTTGAATAAAGAAATTTTGGGCTAAAGGTCATGTGTGATAATAAAATAACACCCTTTTCCGATAGCTTAGAAGTTTTTTCCAAGGCGGTCATATAAGCTAGCGTCTCACAACTTTGTTTTGCTGCTGGACCCCTTTCAGAATCTAGTGGGAGCGGTGCACTTTCTCACACTCAAAATGAACATAGTACACACAATGTTCTGCTTGTAATAAAGCCCCTCCATAGACCCTATGTTAAAAACCCCGTTAGAGTTCCAAAAAACCATACCAAAACTAAACATTTTTAAGCATTTCATATCACGTTATGGTAGAATAAGGTTTCTGTGTGTGTTCAGTTCTTGCTCCCTCCCTGCCTTTAGAACTATGGTTTGAGTTTCTTTTCCCCCATAAATAATGGTATGTATATCCTATGGACTTCTGGAAGATATATGCCTTATACAGTCTGGCTATAGAACAAAACAAAGTTAACCGGTATATACCAGGATGGAAACTACCATATAGTGATAATGTCTTCTCTGGAGGGCATACCTCTCCAGACACATTTGCTAGGTTAATTCTTGCTTTAGAATTCTAGATGTGCAGTTGTACCATAAAAGACTGAGAGTCTTTATCACTAATAATTAACACTGGCTTATGATTCTCTTTTTCCTCTTGTCCTTTTAACCCTGTCCTGTCCCCTGCTCCCACTGCCTCTGTTCTCGTTTGTTTTGCATTTTTGTTTTTCCTTGTAACTGGCATTTCAGTAGTATTAACCTGAAATTTTTTTTTTTTTTGAGACGGAGTCTCTCTGGCTCTGTCGCCCAGGCTGGACTGCAGTGGTGCAATCTTGGCTCACTGCAAGTTCCGCCTCCCGGGTTCATGCCATTCTCCTGCCTCAGCCTACCTGAATTAAAAAAAAAAAAAAAAAAAGCCTTAGTAATAGTAGTGCTCCGCGGCTGGGGAATTGGGTGGGGGTGGGGGGTGGGGGGTGCTTACTAACTAAAATGAAACTAGAATTCATACTAGTTTTTTTATATTAAAATAGTTTCTATAATGGTTAGATCTGAAACATCTCTGGATAGTTTTGGTAGAAAGTATCTGCAGAATATGGAAGAATAATTTGTTCGTATTGACAATTTTCAGGAACTATGCTTTGATGTTGCATAGTAGCTGTAAGCTTTTTCTTTAATGTGTGCCTACTCTAGAGATTCTTGGTGTTTCTTCCTCTTAGAATTGTCTGGGGAAAGGGAGAACAGTAGTGTGGGGTGGGGAAGATGTTTGTGGACAGAAGCCAGGAATGGGAATAGGACCTGCTAGTATTGCCTTGGATTCTTGTCATCTGGCTCTCTACTACTGAGCAAGGCACTCAACAACTCTGCCAGTCTCTCCATCTATGAAATGGGAGTAATGCTGACCTAATTAACAGAAGAGTTGTTGAGTAGATGATTATTTGTAAAAGACTTTTTAAAAAAGTAGTTATATTGGCTGGGCATGGTGGCTCACACCTGTAATCCCAGCGCTTTGGGAGGCTGAGGTGGGCGGATCACGAGGTCAGGAGATCGAGACCATCCTGGCTAACATGGTAAAACCCTGTCTCTACTAAAAATACAAAAAAAGCCGGGCATGGTGGCGGGCACCTGTAGCCTGTAGTCCCAGCTACTCAGGAGACTGAGGCAGGAGAATGGCGTGAACCCGGGAGGCGGAGCTTGCAGTGAGGCCAGATAGCGCCACCGCACTCCAGCCTGGGCGACAGAACAAGACTCCGTCTCAAAAAAATAATAAATATAAATAAAATAAAAAGTAGTTTTATTTCTCAGCAGTGCCTTTTCAGATTAGGACTTGGTCTTAGTTGCCCTTAACTCTGTTCTTGGTGTTGGTTAACATTGTCATCAGAAGTTCAGATTCAATTTTAGATTCAGAATTCTTGACTTGGTTTTACTGGGATGTCAGAACCTTATTTTTAATTAAAGCGAATCTATTGTTGCTTAGGCAGTTGGCACATAGATTTGGCACTGTGAGAAAGGAAATAGTGTTCAGTTGATAAGGGCATCTTGAACTGAATTTCAGATAGTTGTGTTACTTAATGGGTAATGAAATAACTCCAGCTGAGGAACACCTTGATTAAAAAATCTTTCTCTCCTCATGCCTTCTCCGTTAGCAGATTGAAGTCAAGTGGCAATATTTTATTTATAATCATGAATTTAATTATTTAAGCTATATTAAAAAAATTGAAACCCTTAGATGTTAATTAATTTTAAAAACTAGTGATGGATGCAGGTAAGCTAGAATGATTGGATCAAATCTCACACACAAATGAGTTTATTCTTTAAAAAAAAATTTTTTTTTTAGAGACGGGGTCTTGCTATGTTGCCCAGGATGGTCTTGAACTCATGACCTCAAGCAATCCTCCTGCCTCACCCTCCTGAATAGCTGGGATTACAGGCATGAGCCACTGTGCCTGGCCTTATTTTACAGGTCTTACTGACGTAAGCCCATATTTGATTTGTTTTACAGTTTGTTGATATTGCTTAGTATTTCTTTTATTTACTGTATAGTCTATAACTTAATAGGTAGCAGTAAAAACAAAATAATAAAAGTTATTTATTTTCCTCCTAAAATAATGGGGGGTATTTATGGCTTATTTACCCTTAATAATGTCTTTTAAGTGGCCATTATAAAATATGTAGAATTACTTTGGTGTCTGTGCTGTCAAATTTGGCTCATGTAGTAATTGTGCTCGTAGTAAAAAGTGTATTTTAAGCAGCCTGTGTTGTCCTTAAGAAATTTCATGTAGGTTCCACACTTTTTTCTAAAATTAATTATTCTTAACATTTTTAACAGTCAAAACTTGAAACCATTAAGATGTGAACTGCTGTATGTATTATAATAGGGAGTAGCTTTTTTAGTGTTGACATTGTATAAAATTAGTTATTTACAAAGATAGTAAAGCTTATTGTTTGAAAATAAGGAATTGAGGAAATGAAGTTAAACAACATGTATTCATACCTATGTTTTTCTTATAGAAATATATAATATCTAGGTATGTAGAAATGTAAACACTTTGAATTATACAATACTTTGAATAATTTAATAACAATATAGCTTAAATACTTGTAGTGTTATCTTTTCAGTTTGGGAATTGCATATATATTTTAACTGTAAAAATCTTTTTTTTTTTTTTTTTTTTTTTTTGAGATGGAGTCTGGCTCTGTTGACCATGCTGGAGTGCAGTGGCTCACTGCAACCTCCACCTCTTCCCAGGTTCAAGCGATTCTCCTGCCTCAGCCTCCCAAGTAGCTGAGTGCCAAGTACAGGCACGCACCACTGGGCCTGGCTAATTTTTGTATTTTTAGTAGAGACAGGGTTTCGCCATGTTAGCCAGGCTGGTCTTGAACTCCCAACCTCAGGTGATCCACCTCCCTTGGCCTCTGAAAGTTCTGGGATAGCAAGCATGAGCCACTGCACCCAGCCTGTAAAAATCTTACATGTCATGGGAAAGAGGCTGCTGCTTTGTTTATGACTTTATATAGTTTCTGATTATAAAAATAATACAGTGCTCCAAAGTAGATGAAGCAAAATCTGATAGAAATGAAAGGCACAATCAACAAATTACAATTATAGCTGGAAATTTCAATACTTCTTTCTCAGTAATTCTTAAATAGGAAATCAACAAGGATATAAAAGATTCTAACACTATCAACCAATTTGACCTGATTGACATCTGTAGAATATTCCTTGCATTAACAGCATAAAATACGTTATTTGCAAGTACATATGAGACATTTACCAAGGTACAACAGGTGCTAGGCCATAAAGCAGGTCTTAATAACTTAAGGATTGAAATCATACAGAGTATATTCTCTAACCACTATGAAATTAAATTAGAAATCAGTAATAAAATGAAATTTTGAAAATCTCATATGTGGAAATTAAACAGCGAATTTCTAAATAACCTATGGGTCAAAGAAGAAATAGATGTAGAGCAATGGTACAGGGTGAAGAGTTCAGAAATAGACCTACACTAACAATATCAATTGATTTTTTTTTTTTAATAAAGATACTAAGGAAATTCAGTACTGGCTAGGTTTTTGTTCTTTTTTTTTTCTTCTGTAAATGGTTTTGGAATACATGGCTATCTATGTGGAAAAAATAAACCTTGACCCTTATGTCCCACCATTTATAAAAATTAATTCAAAATGGATCACTGACCTAAATGTAAGACCTAGGCTGTGTGCAGTGGCTCATGCTTGTAATCCCAGAACTTTGGGAGGCCGAGGCCGGCAGATCACTTGAGGTCAGGGGTTCCAGACCAGCCTGGCCAACATGGTGAAACCCTGTCTCTACTAAAAATACAAAAATTAGTTGGATGTGGTGGCGTGCACCTGTAATCCCAGCTACTCGGGAGGGTGAAGCAGGAGAATGGCTTGAACCTGGGAGGCAGAGGTTGCAATGAGCTGAGATCGCACCACTGCACTTCAGTCTCAGTGACAGAGTGAGACTCCATCTCAAAAAAAAAAAAAAAGTAAGACCTAAATCCATAAAACTTTAAAAGAAAACATCAGAGAAAAATCCTTGTGACCTCAAGATAAGCAAATATTTTTTAGGACATAAAAAAGATGAGCCATAAAAGAAAAACACTGATAAATTAGACCATGTCAACATTAAAACGTTTTGCTTATCCAAAGATACCATTAAGAAAATGAAAAGACAAACCCTTTTGAGAGAAAATATTTACAAGCATATTCAACAGAAGACTTGTATCAGAATGTCTAAAGAATGTATTAATAAGAAGAAGAGAAACAACCCAAAAGAAAAATAGGCAGAAAAATTGAACAGCTTTTTCACAAAAGAAGATACAGGAATGGCCAAGTGCATGAAAAGATTCTCAACATCATTGGTTACCAGAAAAATTAAAAATTAAAACCACAATGAGATGCCACTATACATACACTAGAATGGCTAAAATTAAATATATTGATGATACCAAGTTTTGGCAAGGACATGGAACATGTGCAATCCTCATACATTCATTACTTGTGGAAATACAAAATGGTACAGCCACTTTGGAAAACGGGTTAGCCATTTCTCATAAAGTTAAGTATAAATTTATCATATGACCCAGGAATTCCACTCCTAAGTATCTATCAAGAGAAGTGAAAACACGTTCATACAAAGACTTGAATATTTTTATTCATTATCACCAAAAATAGGAAACAACCCAAATGTCCATCATCTGGTGAGTAAACAGAGTGTGCTTCATCATACAATGAGATACTATTTAGCAGTAAAATGAAGTGAACTAGTCTTTTATGCAGCAACTTCAGATGAATCTCAGAAACATCATGCTGAGTTAAAAATTGTAACATAAATTATTTAGCTCTTCATGGTTGAAGTTTGTACTATTTGTAATTTTTTTCTGTCACAAATAATCTGATGCCAACAATGCATTAGATATTCTTAAAGATGTATCTCTGTACATTTTAACAAGGTTTTTGTAAGAAAAATTTCTAGACTATAATTGCTGGGCTAGTGAACATTTTTATTTGCTTATATTGCCAACATTTATTGAATGCTTATTGTGTACCAAGCACTATTAGGTGCTCTTTCTACCCAGATTACCTCATTTAATTATCATAGCAACCATATGAGGTGCAGGTCATTACTATTTTCCTCATTCTATAATTGAGGTAACTGAGGCACAGAGAGATTTAAAAACTTGTTCCAAATCACACAGCTAGAAAGTTAGGTAAACCAGGATAGTTTGATTCTAGAGCTTAACTTCCTAGCTAAGACATGTGAAGTTAAGTTTCTATGCATCTTTTGAGGGGTGTTGTATTTATTTTCAGGTCTCCTACTTGATCTCACTGTATGCATTACAGAAATTTCTTGTTTATTTATTTGTTTATTTTGAGATAGGGTCTCACTCTGTTGCCCAGGCTGGAGTGCAGAGGCTCGATCTCTTAGCTCATTGCAACTTCCACCTTCTGGGCTGAAATGATCCTCCCATCTCAGCTCCTGAGTAGCTGTGAATCCAGATGTGCACCAGCATGCCTGGCTAATTTTTGTATTATTTGTAGAGATGGGGTTTCACCATGTTGCCCAGGCTGGTCTTGAACTCCTGACCTCAAGCAATCTACCCGCCTCAGCTTCCCAAAGTGCTGGGATTACAGGCGTGAGCCACCAGACATGGCCTCTCAATTTTAAAAGGTTAGGATGAGCCAAATATTTATTAAATGAGTCTTTCCCTTATTGAAGTAATTTCAGAAATGCACCATTGGAATGTTGTTTAATTTCAACAGGTACAAACTCACACTCAAGGAAAAACCCAGCCATTCACTCAAAGGAACATTATTTTGATAGTATTCAGATATCGTATACAAATCTTTTGAGCAGGTTAGTTTTTTCATGTAAATCATAACATATGGTATTGGTCAAGTAGTAAAGTTCATATTAACCTTAAACATTTACTAAGATACTGTTTTCAAGTAACTCAGGCAATGTATGCAGAGGGTGTCATAGTTTCTGTAAGTATATAAGTTTTGGATCAAGATCACATTAATGCCAGGGCCCCACTACAGATCTTCTGAATCAGAGATTCTGAATCTGAGGTGAAGACTCATAGCTCCTTAAAATTCCATGGAGAAAATATATATATACCTACTATTTTCCCACGAAAATAAAAAATTTAAAGACAATTTCCTGGAGATTCTAATTCACATTTGGGTCTGAGAATTCTTGTGTAGGGCATACTCTCCATTGTTAAAGGATACTAAAAAGTTACATCCTATATCTCAGATACCCAAAGGACATTTATTAAGTCTTATATACACCTCTCACAACCTATAAGCTTGCAAAGCAAAAAGGCCTTCTAATACCCCAAATTGGTTTATATTTTCTTGATAGTTTTAACCCTATAGATTAATATTCTCTTACCTTTTTCCCCAAGGCTTCTAAAAGTAGATGATACTATCTGTCTTTATGTGATAGTTGCTTGTTTGTTAACTTCTTTATGACATGTGCCTTCAAGTGATGTTCTAAAACTAAACTTTTGAAAGTTGTTATTCCCCTTGTAAAAGGGTCTGCCCTTTTCCCTCTCCTGTGTTTTTCTCCTTAACCATTTCGTAGTGCCCACAGGTAGCGTGGTATATATTGGTCAAGAATGTAGGATGCAAAGGGGGGTTGCCTAGATTTAAAACCCAGCTCTGCCATTGGCTGGTTGTATGATGCTAGCAAGTTATCTGCCTTCTCATATTTATTTCATGGGATAGTAATAGTACTTATGTCATGATTATTGAGAGAAGTAAATGAGCTAATATATGTAAAGCACTGTACCTGGCACATAGCCATTAAAATTACCACCTGCTTCTACTCGCCTCTCCCCTGTTGGCTTTATTCTCCTCTGTTGGCTTACATGATACTGTACTGCCATGGCTTTCTGTGATCTCTTGAACCATTCCTTCTTTGCTGGTTTCCTTTCTTCTCACTAACTATAAATAGTATTTCTCTCTGGTTTTGGTGTCAACATTCTTCTCTATATGTAATAAGGATTATAGGCCTGTCAGGTAGACTGGGGTTTGAATTCTACCCCTGCCACATATTAGCTGTATGACCTTGGAATTTTAAATTTCCTCAATCCTTTCCAAACTTAGATTTCTAATCTGTAAAATAGGGGTAATTCCTTTATAGCAGGATTGTTGGGAGGATTAGAGATAATATAAAGTGCCCAGTATAGGGTCTGAAACACTGTAGTTGCTGAGTAATGGGATCTGCTGCTCCTGCTGTCTTTTCTAGCTTATTGATCTCATCCACTTCTGTATCTTCAGATACCGTCACTGAACTGTTGATGCCTAACTCTATTTCTCTAGTTAGATTTCCTTCTTGCACTGTTAAGGTGTATTTCAAACTGCCATTAAATGTTTTCTGTATGTCTTATTGGCATTTTAGAGTTTTCACACTTAATATCAGACTAATCCTACCCTATTATCTTCCTTCTGAAACCTGCTGTTTATCATGTGTTCCATATTTTTACTCATGTTCTTGATCTCCTTTTAGGCATGGTACCTTAGCATTGAATTGATTCATTCATTGTCTTTGAGTCTGTTTCTGGTTCCTCTCTGCGTTCTCACACCAAGGCTCAAATATCCATCTTTTGCTTCAGTTCTCACTACTATAGTTAAACCCTCACTTTATCGTGTGTGTATTTTTTCCCCCAGTAGCCGTGAATGTCATCTCCCTACCTCCATTATTCTTTGTTTTCCCCAATCTGTTCTTTACATTCATCTTTCTCTCTTATCAGATCCATCTTCCCAGAGTGGATATTAGGAGATTCTTTACCCCAAAGAGTCAAATAGTAGATAGTTTGGGCTTTGTGAGCCTTGCCGTCCTTGTTGCAACTGTTTAACTCTGCTGTTGTAACAGGAAAGCAGCCATAGAAATACGTGACCACGTAAGTGTGACTGTGTTCCAATAAAACTTTATTTACAAAAATGGGTGGTGGTCTGGGCATGGTGGTATGCACCTATAGTCCCAGCTACTTGGGAGGCTGAGGCAGAAGAATTGCTTTATCCCAGGAGTTCAAAGCCAGCCTGGACAACATAATGTGACCCCCATCTCTTTAAAAAAAAGAAAAAGATGTTGGACTAGACTTGGCCCACAGGCCATAGTTTGCTGACCCTTCCCTTCCTACCTTTCTTTCTTTCTTTCCTTTTAAATTACCATTCCTTCTAGTATTTCTTGAACTAATTATCTTTTTGAGATATTGACTGCAAGGTAGAATGAACTTTTAGCTCCCTATTTTCCTACTGTCATCTAAAATATTTCGGTTTTAAGTGTTTTGGTTCTCATCATTTGGAGAAGTACAAATTATGCAATTACAAAGATTCCAGAAATAATTCTCATAGCATTTGCCCTGAATAGTAGTTCCTGACTCTTTCTTAGATGCTACTAGGTGCATGTGTTATCAATACAGTCCTATATACTGTGGTTCTTTGGGGAGGTAGCTTTAGGTCTGATGGGCTTATCAGTTTCTTCAGAACCTGCTTTGACCTCTGTGTAGTAGTATTCCATTTCATCTGTCTTATCTCAGCCTTTCAGATTTCACTGACTGATGAAGGAACATTTCTATTTGGCCCCTGTATATTTCTCCTTAGGGTTTAGGTGCATTCTGTATCAGCTTTGTGGACACTTTCCTTATGTGCCCTTGGAGATCTTCTTGCAACATTCTAATTTATTAAGTTAAATATTTTTGAATACCTTCTGTAGAACTGTGCTGAAGACATAAAGACAAAACACAGTTCTAGCCTTAACAATCCTCATGTTTTGATGCAGGGGTCAGGTGACTCCCAAAGGGCCAGATCATAAATATTTTAGGCTGTGGGCTACATGGTCTCTGTTGCAACTACTCAACTCTGCTATTGTAATTTGAAAGTAGCCATAGACAGTAGATTGAGCTTGACTGTGTTCCAGTAAAATTTTATTTACAAAAATCAGTGGTAGGCCATATTTGGCCTGCAGGCTATAGTTTGTCAATCCCTGGTCTAGTGGCATTGTGCCAAGGGATATTTGAAGCCACAGGTAACCAGTGTGTCTTCCTTGAACGTAATTTTACTCAGTTATTGTGGAGAAAAAGTTAAGTAGTTTGATTTATATTGATTTAAAACATTCTTTTAATAACATAAGTGGCCACCCAAGGAATAGAATATAAAATCAAGATGACTATTTAAAATGAAACAGCCTTGCAAGAAATGTCTTGTTTGTAGCGAACCTCTTAGATCTGTAACTACAAACTCTTCTGCCATTTGTTGGATAAGCTTGAGAAGCACTGCTAGGCATTGGGAGCTATGGAAGGATTTAGAGGAGGGCAGTGACATCAGATTTTAATTTTAGAAAACTAACTTGAATGGAGTGTGGAGAATAGTTTGGAGAAGGGCATGGCAATTCTGGAGGGAGGGAGATAGATAAGAAGACTGTTAACAGGAATTGAAGCAAAAGATAAGAGCTTCTTTTAAGATGTAGGTATTGGAGGTAGAGAGAGTTATACAGATTAGAGACATAGCAAGAAGGTTTGATTTGATTGATTGTGTAGGGCAAGGGAAATGGAGAAGGATGAGTCAAGGATGATAGTTCTAAGTTTCCGTAGGGAGACTGGTTGAACAAGGATGCCACTCAGTAAAGGAAATAATACATGAAGAAGAGTAATGTGAAGGCCAGGGAAGACAGACAAATAAATTGCTTTGGAACTGTTAAGTTTGCTTTGCTTGTGGACATCCAGATGGAAATTGGTTTTATATGACTTAAGGCTCTGGAGAGCAACCTCGACTTACTGGGGTGGGCATGAGATTGAATGTAATTCTCCAGAGGAAAAGTTGTCTATAGCAAGGGTATTTGCTCATGACAGAAGCCAATGAGGGGCCGGGCTCGGTGGCTCACACCTGTAATCCCAGCACTTTGGGAGGCTGAGGGAGGTGGATCTCAAGGCCAAAAGATCGAGACCATCCTGGCCAACATGGTGAAACCCCGTCTCTACTAAAAGTACAAAAATTAGCTGGGCTTGGTGGCGCGTGCCTGTGGTCCCAGCTGCTTGGGAGGCTGAGGCAGGAGAATCGCTTGAACCTAGGAGGCAGAGGTTGCAGTGAGCCGAGATCCTGCCACTGCATTCCAGCCTGGCAACAGAGCGAGACTCCCCAATCTCAAAAAAGAAAAAAAAAAAAAGAAGCCAGTGAGGAAAAAACAAAAACTGCCTGGGTCAGTAGAGGAAGGGGGTGGGGATGTGTATTGAAAGAAAAGGAAGAAAACCAGAAGACGGGGGTGTTTTAGAGACCAAGAAATAATAGAGGTTCAAGAAGATGAATAGTACCAAACACTATAGAGAGGGTTAATTAGGATTGGAACTAAAAGACATTTATTGCCTTTTTTTTTTTTCTTTTTAAAGGAGTGGGGTAATTTGGGACTTTTCCTGGGGTAATTTCACTGGAGTTGTGGGAGCAAAGTCAGAAAGCGGTGCGTTGGGTGTGAGTGGTATGTGAGAAAACGTAAGCAGGGACCTTAGACCAGCACTTCTGGTCTACATTAATGTGTCTATGAGTCACTGGGAGATCACTTGGAGATCTTGTTAAAGTGGAGATTCTGAATCAGTAGGTCTGGCATGGATGCCCAGATTCTACATTTCCAACAACCTCCCAAGCAATGGGGATGCTGCCGTTCTGACAGCCACCTGAACTCAGTATCCCAAATTGTTCATCGATGTATCCCAGAGCACTGTAGCTAACTTGCAAGGGTGCCATGGAATATTTTTAAATTTCAAGGGAAATACACTGGCGTCATTAGATTGCTGTATTAGATCACTGCATTCCTTTCAGTGATGTCATACCTTTGGGAAGCTGGATTTTCAGTGCTTGCTCTGATAAAAAGCAAGTACTGCCTGAAAATCAGTGTGGAACAGGAAATGAGGCTGTCAGTGTTCAATCTGAGTCCAGAGTTTGAAAAGTATGCAGTGCCCAACAGGCATCCAGTTTTTAGAACTTAAAATACTTACTAAGTGGTTTGGCTCTTACTGCTTAACGGAGGCAACTACAGTTGTTAGATACTTCTTTTGGCCGAGGTTTACCCTGCAAGATCACTGAGACACTAAAGATTCTTTGAGCCAAGAAAGTTTGGAACCGTTGACATAGGACTTCTTCATAGAAACTTGTCTGTGGAGCCAAAGAGAGCCTAGATGATTGGGCGGTAGCTAAAAGAGGAACAAAGGAGCATTTATTTTAAAATAAAAGAGACAGATATGTTGTATGTTGGGGGAGGGAGCAGCTGATAAAGAAGCAACAAATGTTGACTTAGAGTAAAAGATCTCTGAGGAGGTGAGAAAGGATGGAATCTGTTTTCTCTAAATATTGCTCCCAAACCAACACTGGTTTGTTGGAAGACATGAAGAACGTTATTCCCCACTCCAGACCTCCTGAATCAGAATATGCATTTTAACACTATCCCTAGGTGATTTGTATGCATATTAAAATTTCAGAGGCACTATAGGAGGCAGGATTGGCCTTATATAGGAGAAAGAATGTCTCTTCCTTTTATTTATTCCATCACTATATTGTGTACTTTCCCGCATCCTAGCCATTCTGATTGAGGGAAATGAGATGACAAGGGTTATTTATTTAGATAAATTTAGAAATCTGGGGGTGAAAAGTTGAGGAAGTTTTTGCTTGTTTGCCTTAATTATCTCAGGTAAGTACATAGAAAATATCTCCATCTAGTGAATAAGAAAATTGGGACTGGCCAGGCGTGGTGGCTTATGCATGTAATCCCAGCACTTGGGGAGGCTGAGGCAGGTGGATTATGAGGTCAGGAAATCGAGACCATCCTGGCTAACACGGTGAAACCCCGTCTCTACTAAAAATACAAAAAAAAAAAAAAAAATTAGTCGGGCGTGGTGGCGGGCGCCTGTAGTCCCAGCTACTCGGGAGGCTGAGGCAGGAGAATGGCGTGAACCTGGGAGGTGGAGCTTGCAGTGAGCCGAGATTGCGCCACTGCACTCCAACCTGGGCAACAGAGCGAGACTCCGTCTCAAAAAAAAAAAAAAGGAAAATTGGGACTAAAATAATGGCTGAGAGAGGTGAGCAATGGAGATTTGAAATAACCATTTTGAGGAACATCAACAAACCTGACCAGAAATACAGAAATTGCCAAGGAGTTCTGAAGGTCCAGGTGAGGTCAGAGACAACTTTTAGTGGTGTCAATCTGCATAATTATAACTTTTTCCAGTGGTGCTAGTAGCTTGGGTGTGGGAACTGCAATAAATTGGATTAGTCTACGTTTGTTGATTTGCAGCTTGAGGTTAATGAAAAAATAAGCTAGCAAAAATCTATCCTGAATATGAAAAGAAATGAAGCCACAAGGAGGATGAGATGAGAAAAAGGAGTAGAAGGATTGGAGTTCTCCTTGCAAGCCAATGAAAAGGCTACATATCCTGAAGTTGGAAGAATCCTGCCCTTGTTTTTATCCACAGGGAGAGGAAAATTCTTTCCTGTCAGGCTGCAGATATTTAACAGGGCTTTGTGACTGATTAGATAACAGGAAAGAAGTTTCAGTCTAGGATGACTCCTACTGTTCTGATATTAAAACCTACTGGGAACATAGTTAATAATTGATGATAAATTGGCCTCCAGTGAGCATTTTTTTTTCTGAAAGGGAAAGGCAGAGGGTGTGATGAGGAAGCATGGAGGCAGGATGAGATTTGGAAATGTTGAATTTGAGGTTGGATAGGAGAGTATGTAGGTAAAGATGGCTGTTTATACCACTGGAAACAGGGACATGGAATATAAGAGGTCAGATACAAAGATCAGCTTGGGATTCAGTGATATAATAATAGCCTCTATTGATTGTTCATTGTTATGAAGAAGACTGAGCAGTTTATATTGTCATTTATCCTCTCATCAACCCTTTGAGGCAGGTATTAAGCCATTTTACAGATGAAGAAGTAGGATTAGACACATGCCCAGGGCCACGCAGCTAGTAATTGTTAGAAACAAGATTAGGAACTAGATCTCTCCGATTCCAAATCCATGCCCTTCTAAGCTCTACTATATTTTAGGTCACCAGCTTCTGGCTCTTGATTGATACCTGACGTGTTATAGAGCTTCTCAGATGCAAATAACCGAAACAAAACAAAAATCTTTCAAATGAGCTTAAGCAAACCAGAACAAAATGTATTGGTCCTTACCTATGGGTCTGCTGATTGACTGGCAGAGTTGGAACCAAGGGCTCAAACAATATTATCAAAACTTGATCTCTCAGCTTTTCTTTTCTATATTAGTTATTCTCTTGTAAGCTCCCTGATATGACAACAAGATGGCCCTAATAGTTTCAGCATTACATCATGGAGATACATACAGAAAGAGAGCTGCTCTTTACCAAGGGCTTTGACAAAAATCCTGGAGTTGCCTCTGATTGGCTTAGGCCCTTTGCCCATTTCTGAACCAACTTCTGGCCAGGCTTGAGCCACATGTCCACCCTGGAGGGTAGAGAGTGAACCTCACCTAGGGGTGAGAACTGAGGACTACAGGTCAGGCTTTCCCAAGTAAATGAGGCACCTGGAAAGAGAAGAAGGGGAATGGATGCCAGGCAAACAAAAGCTGCTTGTCCACACGTGGACAGGGATGAAAAATCTCACCTGTGACTGCTTGAGGATGAAGATAAAGATTATGAGACTGTCAGTAATGATGAAAATAAGTGACATTTGTTAGATGCTTACTAGGTACCAGGTGCTATGCTAGTCTTTTACATGTATTCTATTGTTTATCCTCACCATAGGTTTTTGAAGTGTATACTGTCATTATTTCCAAATACAGCTAGGAAGTGGTAGAGCTGAGATTTGAATTCAGGCTGGACAGCTCCATACCTCACCCTCTCTATTACCACCATAACATTTTACTTGTAATTTTCTCATTGTAGTTTTCACATTTTGTCTAGTTACACTGGTTGACAGCATATAGTGAATCAGACAGACCTGGGCCACCAATTTTTCTACATAGTATGCTTAATAAATAATTGTTAATATGACTTAAATAGCATTTACTTTAAGTATTATAGTGGAAAATTTTTAAAATTAAGTTCTTAGTTTTTCTCTTAAAATGTTTTGTGCTTTATTTATTTTTATTTTATTTTATTTTATTTTTTGAGACAGAGTCTCGCTCTGTCGCCCAGGCTGGAGTGCAGTGGCGCGATCTCGGCTAACTGCAAGCTCCACCTCCCAGGTTCACGCCATTCTCCTGCCTCAGCCTCCCAAGTAGCTGGGACTACAGGCGCCCACCACCACATCCGGCTAATTTTTTGTATTTTTAGTAGAGACGGAGTTTCACCATGTTAGCCAGGATGGTCTTGATCTCCTGACCTCGTGATCCGCCCGCCTAGGCCTCCCAAAGCGCTGGGATTACAGGCGTGAGCCACCGCGCCCAGCCTGTGCTTTATATTTTAATCTTATAAGTGGCTTTTTATGTTTAGCCACTCTGGTCCTAGAACTCTTTTGTTTTTTTAAACTTCTTATACCATACTTGAATATGTAAAATTCTAGTTGGATTATTTCATTTTTAGTATATCTGTAGAGATTATGGAAATATTTTTGTTAATCTTTGTTTAGTCTTTGTAATAATAGTTTCAAAATCTTATCTAGTATTTCTATAAACGCTTTTTTATAAAAAGCTAATAGTGTGTTTTTAAGGCTTGTATTTTCAAAATAATTTATTCTGAGGTTGTCCTGTTTACTTATTCAAATTGGTTATTCACAAAAATAAAAAGATAGTCTCATGTGCTCTTATTTTTAAGATGCGTATTTTAAGCATTAAAACCATATGTTTTGTAACAGAGTTTGAGTTTTTAGACTAATAAAAGTTACCGAGTACCATTTTATTTTGGTTTTCATGATTTGGGGCTCTGCGGTGCCAATTATATTTTTTTAATCCTGTCTGAAATGTCTGATCTGTGTCGTCATAAAGGAAGCAGTGCAGGATTGGAAATCAGGAGACCCCTTTTTGTCCTTTGGGATTCCCCTCTCTAAAGAGTTTGGGCCAGACCTTTATGATCTTTTCCACTTTTAAAATTCTAGTGTTTTTATTTTAAATCTCTGCTAGATCAGAAGCACTGCCTTATGGATGTATAGTCTTAGAGCTAGATTGGAAGATAGCATAGTCCAGGTTCCTTATTTTAAAGATATACCAGCTGGGCATGGTGGCTCACACCTGTAATCCCAGGACTTGGGGAGGCCAAGATGGGAGGATCACTTGAGCCCATGAGTTTGAGACCAGCCTGGGCAACAGAATGAGTTCCCTGTCTCACACACACACACACACACACACACACACACACACACACACAAAAAAAAAACAGAATGAGTTCCCTGTCTCACACACACACGCGTCGGTCGTGGTGAATCAGTTCCTGTCTACACGCACACTAGCCGGGCATGGTGGCTTGCGTCTGTAGTCCCAGCTACTCAGGAGACTGGGGCAGGAGTATTGCTTGAGCTCAGGAGTTTGACGTTGCGGTGAGCTATGATCACGCCACTGATCTCCAGCCTGGGGGACAGAGACCTTGTCTCTTAAAAAAAAAAAAAATTAATAATAGTAAAGATAATCCAGGCCCAAATGATAGCGTCTAAGATCTCACCATCATTTAGAAGTAGTGGAGCAAGGACAGGCATTTCTGCCTGTGCTGCCTTATGCTCTTCTTTCCTCAAAACGGTATTAGCAACTTGAAGACAGACAACATTCATTTATTTGATTAAAGGAACATTTATTGAATCGCTTCAATCTATCAGGCATTTTACTAGGCATGTGGTTAGCTGCAAAGATGTGTACATGAGGGAATGTGCATATATGGAGGCCCAAAACTGGAATATAGAGTCCAACAACCTTGGGTTCACAGTCTATCTGACCACTTAGGAGCATGACCTCAGTTAAGTTAGCCATTCTAAGCCGCATTTCTTTGTCTACAAAATGAGAATAATAGTAGTAGACATTTACACAGTTGTGGTGAGGATTGAGACTATAAAGATTAAACTTAGCATAGTACGTGGCACATAGTAGACTCTCTTAGAGTTTATGAAAGAAGGAAGGAATTAAGACTTATGGAACATTTTCCTGTATTGTCTTATTTGATTCATACCCCTGTGAGGTAGATAGTGATACCCTAATTTTTCAAGTGAGGAAACAGCGCTGAAGGCTTGGGACTTCCCCAAGGTCCACAGCCATTAGTCATACCTACCATACACATTATTTTTAAAAAGTGCACCAGACACTGTTTTAAGCATTTTTATGTACTAGTTTATTAGCTTTGCATGTGGTATACTATTGTTATTTTCACTTAACAGACAAGGGTAGTTAGGTACAGAGAAGTTGAATAATTTGCCCAAAGTAACACAGTCAGTAAGTGGCAGAGTCGTGTGCTTCATGTGCAGGAAATCTGGCTTCAGAGTCCCACTGTTCTTTTGTTGTTGTTGTTGTTTGTTTGTTTGTTTGTTTTCAGAGAGCATCTTGCTGTATTGCCAGGCTGGAGTACAGTGGCGCTATCTCAGTTCACTGCAACCTCTGCCTCCCGGGTTCAAGTGATCCTCCTGCCTCAGCCTCCCAAGTAGCTGGGGCTACAGGCGCTTGCCACCACACCCAGCTGATTTTTTGTATTTGTAGTAGAGATGGGGTTTCACCATGTTGGGCAGGATGGTCTCAATCTCTTGACCTCGTGACCCGCCTGCCTCGGCCCCCCAAAGTGCTGGGATTACAGGCGTGAGCCACCGCACCCGGTCAGAGCCCCACTGTTCTTAATCTTTGTGTTCTTCCTTTTACTTCATGCTCTCTTTTGTGAAGGTGAAAAGCAGTTTTACAAACTAGAAGGTGCTACATAAGATGTGGTATATTTATCTGACTTGGTCCCTGTACTCCAGAGATTACAGTCCATGAGGAATGTGTCTTCTCCAGGCTAAACCTACTCATTTATTGCCACTGTTACTCGCTGGATATTGCTGTCACTATTTTGGCCACTTTTCTTTAAAAAAAAATTTTTTTTCATTTTGTCAACGTTCGCCCTCTAATGTGTCCCCAGAAATGGATACAAGCTTCAAAGATCTCTATTCTGCCAAGCTGTCTTACCCTCATTTTATAGTTTACTCTGCAAGATGAGAATAAAACCTGCCTTCCAGGGATTGTAAAGATTAAGTGAAAGAATAAATGTAAAGTTATTAACACATAGTAATTTGTCAGTAAATGCTGCTGGTTATTACTTCTGTATAGTATGGTTGATTTTTGCCATTTTGAAAGTAGGATTTATTTTTAACTTTATTAGAATTCATCATGTTGATTCAATTGAGATCACATTGAATCTTCTTTCTTTTATTTGTGATATTGGCTACTTTTCCCAGCTTTGTATGAGCTGTATATTTTCCTATTGAGAAAGGTTACATTAATAAGATTCCTTTATTTGTGTGACTCAAAATCATTGATAAAAATATAGACTAGCTAGGCTGGGCGCGGTGGCTCACGCCTGTAATCCTAGCATTTTGGGAGGCTGAGGTGGGCAGATCGCCTGAGGTTGGGAGTTTGAGACCAGTCTGGCCAACATGGTGAAATCCTGTCTCTATTAAAAATATAAAAATTAGCTGGGCGTGGTGGTGGGCGCCTGTAGTCCCAGCTGCTTGGGAGGCTGAGGCAGGAGAATCGCTTGAACTCAGGAGGCGGAGGTTGAAGTGAGCTGAGATCACGCCATTGCACTTCAGCCTGGGCGACAGAGAGAGACGCCGTCTCAAAACAACAACAACAACAACAAAAAACCAAAAAATTAGGTAGGCATGGTGGTGCATGCCTGTAATCCCAGCTACTTGGGAGGCTGCGGCAGGGGAATTGTTTGAACCAGGGAGGTAGAGGTTGCAGTAGCCAAGATCACGCCACTGCCCTCCAGCCTGGGCGACAGAGTGAGACTGAGACAGACAGAGAGCGAGACAGAGACAGACACTAGCTACAGGCTAGAGATAGTAGAACCTCCTGGCAGGCTGGCAGAGAGGCCTGGATGTAGGATTCATAGAGAAACTAACTATTAATGTTAGTTTGCCCAGCTCACATTTCACCGTCTTATCAACCACATATGTGAGAATATTTTTCAAGATTTTAAAAAATGTATCTAGTTGGTTCTTCCCTCTTAATTTTCTTACAGTTCTCTCAATTTAATTACAAATGTGAGGCCTCCATCCTCTGTCCTTAGACTTCTTGCAACATTCTCTTTAAATTAGTCATATCCTTTAGCAGTGGTACTCAATTTTTGTTTTATGGCCCATCAATCACTTTGCTTAGAGTCACTGGGTTCTAACACCCTCTACAACCAAAATAAACTTCCTCTTTTGTCAACAAGACATTTAGATGTAATAGTGTATAGCAATCTGTAAAGATCTGCCTACAGTAGATTTACATACAATGATATTGATCAGATGAGCAGGGTAGATCACTTAACAGGTTCAGCAAACATTGTGACATAAAGATTAAGCCTGGGCCACCAGAAAACTGTGGATCAAAGAAACAGGTGACTGAAGAATAGGTGAGAGGCAGAAGAGTGGTATAGATGGATGTTCTGGTGGGTGGTGGGAACAAGCATTTGAGAGAGAGATTGGATATTGGTAGTTACTGACAGTATGCCTGACAGATATTGATGGGATGTAAGGATATAGAGAACTTGACTTCTTAATAGTTGTTATGAAAATCTTGTACTCAGTCTGTTTTTCTAAACCACTCACTAGGTATACTTAAACATCCTTAAAAATAAGTTGCGGCCGGGTGTGGTGGCTCACGCCTATAATCCCAGCACTTTGGGAGGCCGAGGCGGGCAGATCATGAGGTCAGGAGATCGAGACCATCCTGGCTAACACGGCGAAACCCCGTCTCTACTAAAAATACAAAAAATTAGCCGGACGTGGTGGCAGGCACCTGTAGTCCCAGCTACTCGGGAGGCTGAGGCAGGAGAATGGCATGAACCCGGGAGGTGGAGCTTGCAGTGAGCCGAGATCAAGCCACTGCACTCCAGCCTGGGCGACAGAGCGAGACGCCGTCACAAAAAAAAAAAAAAAAATTAAAAAAATAGGTTGCATCTAGGGCCAAAATAAAAACACATGGTACTGAATGAAAACCATCTGTAGGCATAATTTAGTATTCTGTCTTTATTTAATTAGGGGGGTGTGTGTGTGTGTGTGTGTATACATATATAGCATGCCGGTGTTATTTTGACATCTCATGCAAATGGCAAGTTGTCAAACTTCAATTTTTTTTTTTTTGACTAGCCACAGGGGCTCACACCTGTAGTCTCAGTGCTTTGGGAGGCTGAGGCAGGAGGATTGCGTGAGGCCAGGAGTTTGAGACCACCCTGGGCAACATAGCGAGACCTCATCTGTACAAAACATTTTAAAAAATTAGCTGGGTGTGATGGTGCACACCTGTAGAGCTGTTCAGGAGGCTGAGGCAGGAGGATTACTCCCACTCAGGAGTTTGAGGTTGTAGTGAGCTATGATCCAAGCCACTGCGCCCTAGCCTAAGTGACAGAATGAGACCTTGTGTCTAAAATATATGTATATATATTTTTACAAGCTAGCAGTACTTCTATCAATCTTTAGCAATGGATGGTAAAACCCACCTTCTGTTTTAAAATTGTATTAAAGATGTTTATGTTACTCTTCTTTATCTGTCTAATCTATCATCTCTGTTCTCTCAAGGTAAATCATTAATTGATTTATTCAGTAGATATTTGAGTGCCTGTGTTTGGCACTAGGAGTACAAGAATAAATAAGAGCTGGTTCATCCTCTGTTGGAGTCTACAGTCTGGTTGGGGAAACCCAGAAAAAAAAATGAGTGTGTTTAGGTGTGGCAATATATAAATAATTAAGTAACTTTTCTAAGAATGATGTGAAAAAACAAATAACATTAAACTAATTCAAAGTGATAAAAGTAGAATGAGGTTAATGTTAGATGAAACAGACTCATCATTATTTTCTAAGACTGGATCTTGTCCTTACATTAACCACACTCTCCCGCAGTGGTATGGATGCAAAGATTAAACACTTCAGCTCTTAAAACAAGACTAGATAAAATTATTTGTAAAATGGAGATAGTCATTTCTCTGAATACCTCATGGAGTTGTTGCAGAATTGAAATGAGATAATTATTTGTAAATGCTGTGAACTAGAGTTCTATACAAATAGAACTTGTACTCTGATGAAAGTTGTGACTTGAATCTTTGTCCATCATGCCACAAAAAAACTTTTCAGAAGTGTTTGGTTATCTGCCTACAAAGGGAGTTACGCTATTATTGAAAAAAAAAACCAGCCGGGCATGGTGGTTCGTGCCTGTAATTCCAGCACTTTGGGAGGCCAAGGCAGGCAGATCACTTGAGTCCAGAAGTCCGAGGCCAGCTGGGCAACATAGTAAGTAAGACCCTGTCTCTATAAAAAATTTAAAAATTAGCTAGTCTACTCAGGAGGCTGAGGCAGGAGCCCAGGAGGCTGAGGCTGCATTGAGCCATGATCACGCCACTGCACTCCAGCAACAGAGCAAGACCGTGTCTCAGGAAAACAAAAATAGAAAAAGAAAAAAATCAGCTCCTTTTTATTGCAGTTACTGAATTCTTAAGAGCCTGATTTACATGTTTTCTGGCCAGTCTTAGCAACTTACTGCTTTATAGCTGTACTACAAAAATGGTGCCACTCAGTCACCTACCGAAGTGAATGAAAACCTCTAGTCTGAATGTGTCACTTCTTTGTTTAAACCTCTTCAGTGGCTCCCTGTTACCCACTAAAACCCAAGTTCATCATTGGGGCTTACTAAGCTTTTGGGAAGGGGCCAGAGCTATGTCCAGCCTTACCTGTCACATTCCTTGACTCACACGTCAGGTTCAC
This sequence comes from Homo sapiens, assembly GCF_000001405.40. Lineage (NCBI taxonomy): Eukaryota > Metazoa > Chordata > Mammalia > Primates > Hominidae > Homo > Homo sapiens. Next base: position 231,385,544 of record NC_000001.11, on the reverse strand, counting down.
CCTTGTTTGCAGTTTACACAGCATGTGTCTACACACACACCATGACCTTTTCTCTTCCTGGAATATGCCCCCTCTCCTTCCTTACCTGGCTAATTCATACTCTTTCAAAACTCATTTTTCAGATAGTCCTTCCTGATCCCAACCTTCTCCCCAGTGAAGTAGTCAGCGCATGGACTGGTCATTTTAATTGTCATCTGTGTTGGAATGATCAGTTTTCCTCTCTGTTCTACTCACACTTCCTAGCACTATGCCTTACACATACCCTAACTGAACATGTTCAAAACTGAACTCCTGATCTCTCCCATTGTCCAGACTCAGGCTGCACCATATGCTGTCTTCATCTGTTTATGGTAATTACATTTTCCCTATTGCTTAAACCAAAACCTTAGAGTCATCTTCTTTTATATCTCATACCAGTCTTTCTGGACATCTTGCTTTATTCTGCCTTTAAGATAGTATGAGTATCCCAGCACTTCTTACCACCTCCATTGCTACCACTGTGGTCCAAGTGATCGTTGTACCACACCTGATTTATGCGGTAGCCTTCTAACTACTCTTCTGCCTTCCACTCTTGCCAGCCTTCAGTCTATTTTGCACATCAGGACTTGGCAGACTTTTTATGTCAAGGGCCAGATGGTAAAAAATTTAGGTTTTGTGGCCTGCACGGTCTCTGTCATAGCTGCTAGACCGGAGTTGGGGCACAAAAGCAGCCATAGAGAATATGTAATTGAATGAATGTGGTTGCATTCCAATACAGCTTTACTTATAAAAACAGGCAGTGGGCTGTGGTCTGCCAGCCCCTGCTCTACATGGCAACCAGACTACCCAGTGCCTTCCGGTGACTTAATCTTTATAGTGTTCTCTAAAACCCTCCATGATGTGCGTCCCCAACCCCTTACCTGTCTGACTTCATCTTACGCTGTTGTCTGCTTTCCTCCCTCCTCTCCAGTCACACTGACCCTCTTTTTCCTCAGATATGCCAGGCCCATTGCCACCTGATTCTTTGCACCATTTATTCCTTCTGCCTGGAACATTCATTTCTTCTTAAATGTCAACTTCTCAGTCAGGCCTACCTGACCAACCACCCTATAAATAATTACATTCTAGCATTATATTCCCTATTGCGTGTTTTTTTTTTTCTTCGTAATGCTTGTCTTCTGCCATTTCTTATATTATGCTATATATTGACTTAATTTTTTCTCTTTCTTTTCCTGCTAGAATAAATGTTCCCTGAAGGCAGTAACTTTGTATCTTTTCTATTAAGTAGTGTATCCCCAAGATCTAGAACAGTGCCTGACGTATAGTAGGTGCTCAGAAAATATTTGTTGAATGAACACATAGTGTATATTTTTAGGGTTTAATTTTTTTTAAATGAGTTCTTTCTCTCTCGCCAGCACCATATCCTTTCTGTTTCACACTCTTACTGTTGCTCTAAGCTGCCCTGTCCTTTCCATTCTCACTCCCCTTTATTCTGACTCTCATCTATTAGCAGTGTGTCCATAACCTTTTATTTCGTGGCATCTGGGCCATCCTCTACAAGTAGATTGAGTGATGTTTGTAAAATGGAAAAATGATTTTATTATTCAAAACTCTTTATTTTTGATTTTTTGCCAATTACAATGAAGTGCTTGTTTAAAGTACAGGATCTCTTATGAAGGAATAATTGTCAAGAAAAAAAAGTACGGGATCTCAGGCCTCATGCCATACCTGATAAGTCATAATTTCAAGCAGAGGGCATAAGAATCATCATAATTTAGGAAGTAACCCAAGCGATTCTTACTGAACACAGTTGGCCAACACTGGCCTGTAAGGTAAAGTTCCCCAGTGAGTCAGTGAGAGCCTTTTTGAGCTGCCCCTGCCTGTCTGTCCTGCCCCATCCCTATTGCTCCACACTGCACTTCATCTTCCAACAGTTTTTCTATTTGCATTTCTCTCAAGGCACCATATTGATTCTGTTTTTGCAAATATTCTTTTCCCTGTACAGAACAGAATCTTCTACTCTGGAAAACTTCTATTTTTGTCTTTCAAAATTCTGCACGTTTGTCACTTTCTCTATAAAGTCTTTTCTGATCCCCATTCCCGTGACAAAGTTAATTATGTCTTTGCTGTCTGGGTACTTTGTGTAAGTAAGACTCTGTTCTGGTGTTTATTACACTGTACTGTGTGCCTTTGCATAACTGTTTGCCTGTTGTGACCTGACCTGAGCCAGTAGTTGTTTACGGGTATTAGGTTTTTATTGAGAGGTACTGCTGTTCTTTGGAGGCTACAGTTAAATGAGTGTTACAAATCTCTTCCCCCAGAACCGAGCTTCTAAATGGCATGTTACTGTGAAAGCAAAACTCACACTGAGTTCTGCCACACACAAAAAAAATTTATTAGGAAGCAAGCACAAAAATACTGTTTTATTAGGTGGATAAAATTCCTACTCTCTATGCTTTTAGAACATCTGACAAGCACCTTTTTTTTTTTTTTTTTTTTTTTTTTTTTGAGACAGAGTTTCGCTCTGTTGCCCAGGCTGGAATGCAGTGGTGCGATGTCGGCTCACTGCACCCTCCACCTCCCAGGTTCAAGCGATTCTCCTGCCTCAGCCTCCCGAGTAGCTGGGATTACAGGCGTGTGCCACCCCACCTGGGTGATTTTTGTATTTTTAGTAAAGATGGGGTTTCACCATGTTGGCCAGGCTGGTCTCAAACTTCTGACCTCAGATGATCCACCTGCCTCGGCCTCCCAAGGTGCTGGGATTACCGGCTTGAGCCACCATGCCCGGCCTGCCAAGCACCTTTTATGGAAGGTTTATTTAAGGCAAAAATGCTAGTGTGCTTTTAGGATTCAGCTGAACCTAATTGGAATCAAATAACAGAATTCCTTTATGGGGAACTAACAGAACCAGCAGGAGTCATAAGGCTCAGGGTACAGTCCCTAATAGTAGGCCATTAGATTAACTAGATTCATGTATATGTTCATGTAAGAGCAGTGGTCCCTATACAGTGTGTAGCCATAACACCTTTCTTGAGTACCATTCTTCTCTAATACTGTCATAATTTCTAATATCCACTATGTTAATTACTAAATTCTCTGGCTTTGAGATGAGATAAGGCTTCTTGAGTTGTCTCACTGGAGTAGGGTTTTTGATTACAAGCTTTCCTCATTTACTGATGATTATTTATATCCAGTCTTGGGCTTGCATGTTAACTAAGTGCTCCAGGATGAATGTCAGGAACCTCTCACTCATGTCCTCTAGTCCATTAAAACAAATAATAATTACACTGTTTGTGCCAAAATAACTTAAGGAATTTAAATCGTAACTCTTCTAGACCCTGGAATTGAAACAGATGTTTTACTTTTAATCTCTGTATCCTCATGCCTAGTGCAGTACCTGCTCAGTGAGCCTCAAGAAGTGCCAGAATGTATGTTTGTAATGTCAAGCAGCTAAGTGTTTTGTTCTGTTTGTATTTTTGTTTTTAATGCCGAATTGCAGACTCTTCCAACGAATTATATTAATAATATAGCAAGTTTGCCATAGCTGTCAGAATATCTGTCTTAACAGTGATACTTCCTTGCATGGGCTAGAATGAGGTTGTATAATTCCCTGGGTGGGGATCAAGCTGAGACCTGCTCAGGATCCCCAGTCTCCTTGTGGAGAGAGGTTGCTCTGTCTTCCTCATGAAGTTTGCAGTGGGAGTGGTGTGTGTGATATAAATACAGAGCCCTGCTTGGGAATCTAAGAAAGAGTTGTGCAGTGCTGGTAAGATTATAGCTGAGGTTAACAAATTGTAGATCTCTGTTCTGACAGCAGAGCTAGACAGCTCAAAATATAATGTGTTTCACCAGATGAATTTCTTATTTGTAAAGCATAACTTTATCAATTCTTCACTAAAAGGGAAATGAAAGCTCAGAGAGTACTAAGGCATCATGACATATCTCTAGATTATACTGTCGGGAGCATCATACTTAAGTTGATTTTTAAGTGTATATTTAAGTTTTTTTAATCATGGGCTAGAATTAGAGCCTAATAAGGAAAGTAGTTTGGTGTTAGATTATTAAACAATTCATAATTCTTGGGCCACTTGGAGAGTGATTTGGATCAATGCTATTTCTTCTTCAATAATCTTTCATTGTTTTTCTGTATTTTTCATATTTCTATGAACATGGGAAGAATCTTGGATTTTTAAAAACTTTACATTGATAATTAATATAATTATATTCTGCCTTCCTGTACCGATAATAAAAACTTTGTATTAACATACTCTTCCACACAAGCAGAGTAAAAAGGTTGAAATTGTTGTTGTGTCATATGACAGCGGTTAACAACCAAAGAGCTCTTAAAAATCAGTAGGGGGCCAGGTGTGGTGGCTCACACCTGTAATCCCAGTACTTTGTGAGGCCAGAGTGGGAGGATCACTTGAGACCAGAAGTTCAAGACCAGCCTGAACAACGTAGTGAGAGCCCATCTCTAGAAAACATTAAAAAATTAGCCAGGTGTGGTAGCGTGTACCTGTACTCCCAGCTACTTGGGAGGATTGCTTGATCCCAGATGTTCAAAGTTGCAGTGAACCATGATCACGCCACTGCACTCCAGCCTGGGTGACAGAGTGAGACCCTGTCTCTAAAATAATAATAATAACTCAGTAGGGAAAAGATTAACCCAGTAGAAAAGTGGATAAAGGATATGAGCAAGCAGTTGAAGAATTAAATGGCCAATAAAATATGAAAAATGCTGACTTAAAAATATAAGATGTAATTAAAACATTAGTAAGATAAATGTTACCTATCAAATTGAGCTGTTTTCAAAGATTAAAACTTACTATGCTGGGTTGGCAAATGGTTAAAAAGATGTGTGCACTCATACAAAGCCAGTAGGAATATAAGCTCATGCAATAATTCTGGAGAACATTTCAGCAATCAGAAAGCTTTAAGACCTAATAATTTCACTTATAGTAATTTAATTTTAGGAAAATATCAAGGATTTACAAAGATTAAGCTCCAAAACTATTGTTGATCACAATATTATTATAATAGCATTTTTCTAATTTTTAAGGAAACTATATGCCCTTATATGTCTTTTTAAAATATATATATACCTATCATTTACACTTAGAAATGAATTAGTCAAAAAATTAGTCAGAAATCATTTATAATAAGTCAGCTTTTGACCACTGAGTTGTTTACTGTGATCAAGAAAGCAGCAAGGCTTAAGGAGTTCTTATTCTTTTTTTTTTTTTTTTTTTTGAGACGGAGTCTCGCTCTGTCGCCCAGGCTTGAGTGCAGTGGCGCGATCTCCGCTCACTGCAAGCTCCGCCTCCCGGGTTCACGCCATTCAAGGAGTTCTTATTCTAAATGACTTTATTTCATGACAATCTGTTCTCTGTTCTCTTCTCTCTGTACTCCCTTGGCAATCTGTGGCAGGCACACGGCTTCAGCTATCCCATGCGAAGATGGCTCCTAAATTTACATTTCCAGTCATGACTTTTTTTTGGAGTTCCACACAAGTTTCCAACTGCCCTTTGAACATCCCCACCTGGATGGCCTTCCAGCATGACCTGTTTTCTTCCGTATTTGAACTAGATTTTTGTAGACCCCCAAGGTAGTGATAGTGATGTGTATGTGTGCTTTGGAAGTGGGCAGGGAAGAGACTTAAAAAGATTTAACTGTAGAACTGAAAAATACCATGTGCAGTACAGCAGGTTCTTGAATAACATTATTCTGTTCAGTGTCGTTTTGTTATAATGTTGATGAGGGATAAAGAATCAATTCCTGGCCGAGGCCAATGTCTGTGTGGAGCATGCAAGTTCTCCCCATGTCTGCGAAGTTTTCTTCAGGTGCTCCAGTTTCCTCCCACATCCCAATGTGTGCATCTTTGGGATGTGGACTGACGTATCTGTTATCTTAGTGTGAGTGAATATGGGTGTGTGTGAGTGCACCTTGCAGTAGAATGGCGTCCTGCCCAAGGCTGGCTCCCATCTCGTGCTTTGAGCTCCCAGGATAGGCCCCAGCCACCTGCAACCCTAAAACTGGACTAATGGCATAAATAATTACCTTGTTTTTATTAATCTTTCTTAAATGTGTATATAGCTCACATTTATTTCAAGGTTTACCATTAGAAGTGTTTTGGTCTTTATTTAGAAGTTTGGCAATGTTTTATGACCACAAATATGCTGTAGAAACTTAAGTTGGTTTCATTATACATTGTTTCACATAAAGTTTCCAAGAACCTATCGAGGCTATTAGTGAGGACTTACTGTACATCTTGACATGGGAGAATTGGGCATTAGGCATGAGCATGTGCCACTGCAGCAGGTGGTGGGCCGCTTACGAGTCTGGATTACCAATTTCATCTGAACTCTTGGGTGGACTATATACATGCCTTACTGGAGCAAGGAATTGAAGAAGAATACAGAAGGAAGTTGTTTTTCTCTGCCTCAGTTCATATCCTGCCTCTGCCATTTAGAGTCTCTGACCTTCGGCAATTTTTTTCTTTTCACTCCAGTTTAGTTTTCTGGTCTCTAAAATGGGGGGAGAAATTGTGCCTACCTAAGGTTTGCTGTAAAGAATGACCGAGGTAATCCATGCCTGGCCTATAAGTGATTAGTAAATGTTAGCTGTCAGCCTCTACAAAAGGCATAGTGCTATGTCAAAGCATAGTGCTTTGATAATATAGTTTAATAGGATAAATTTTCAGATAGTAAACCTTTTCCCTTCATTCAGGGTAAAAATAATAGTTCTGTAACCCATCAAAGTTTAGTTCTCTAAGCTTTGTATCCCTGTTTTAAAATAATTCAGCTCAAAAAAGAAAAATAAGTTTCCTGGTTCAGCTTCATATTGAAGCCTTCTAATGCTAGAAATAAATGTCTCTAGATTCCTCAGAGGCATTGCGGACCTCTTCCTTCCTTTTATTCTCAGAGTGAAAAACAAATTTATGCTGTTTCCTATCTTAAGAACATTCTCAATCAGCCAGGCACGGTGTCTCACGCCTGTAGTCCTAGCACTTTGGGAGGCCGAGGCAGGCAGATTGCTTGAGCCCAGGAGGGGAAGACCAGCGTGGGCAACGTCGTGAGACCTTGTCTCTGAAAACGTAAAAAAGAACATCCTTAATCATATATATTTTCATATCAGAAAAGAAAAAAATAGTATTGTTTTGTTTTGTTTATGTATAAATAGGTTTTTCTCGATGGGAAATTGAAACATTTAAAGTTGGTGTCTCTATAAGGTGGCAAATTAGGAATTTACCTCAGAATTATATAGTGGTGGATTGCATTGTTTCTTTTTCAGGCTTTCTGGTTTATAGGGTTATGTTGGTATTTTTCGTGTTATTCTTTTTACAATTATAATCATGAACTGCTGCCTTTCCTGGGGCTGGTATTGGCAAGTTAATTGGGTTGGCAGATCCATGCAGGCCCTGTGGAGCACTCATCCCCTCTCCCTTCTTCCTTTCTCCTCATTTTTCAGTATTCCTGTCACCAGAGCAGAGCACAAGGGACCTAGGGAATGCCAGATAAGACTAAAGTGGTAATGGCCACTTTTAAATAATACATTTAGATGGTGATAATTGAGCTATACTGGGAATTATAGAACTTAACACAATTACATTAAATTTATTAAAACTTTTCTTCAAAACGTGAGATTTAAAACTTTTCTTTACTCTGCCTTTTATTTTTTCAAAGAATCCTCACTTGGAATTCAAATACTGTATAGGAAACAGCTAAGCACTGCCTCTAGTTTAAGGTTGGGGTTAAAACCTGCTTGTTTGGCCTCTTCTCATATCACTTCATTCCCAATTAGTCCCCTACCCCTAGATACCTCCCTAGGGCTCCAGGGCTCTAAGGAAAGAGTTTAGAAGTGAATAATACAAACAGATCCCCGGTTGGGGGATAATCCTGGTGCCCTCAGTTTTGTTCTATTCTGGGATGTCTGGCTCATTTTGACAGTTATCGATAAACTCCTCTCCTACCCGATGCTTGTAATTAAAACTGCTCTTTCACCTAGTGTTTCCATTTTCATGTACAGTGACTCCATTCATTTACTTACCTAGGCTGAAAACCCCGTAGTCATTCTTGACTCTTCTTACTCTCCACTCATTAGCAAATCATGTTGGTTTTCTGCCTTCAGAATACACCCCACTTTGCTACTCTGGGCTCAGCCTCTTTGGTTTCTTGCCCGGAAACTTTAATAGCTAACTTAGTCTTCTCTTTTCACTCTTTGCTTCCTGCAGTCTAGTACAGTGGTTAATTCCATGGGTTCTGGAACCAGATTCCCTGTCATGTGACTTTGCGAATACTAATTAGCCTTTCTAAACCTCAGTTTAGAGGAATGAGGATGAGAACAGTGATACTGTTTACCTCACATGGTTGTGTCAGACAACTTGTTATGCACAAATTACTTAGATAGGACATGGCAAACAGTAAATGTCCCATAAATGTTAGGTGGTAAGAGATATTGAGGTTGTTGTGGTTGTTTTTATTCATACAGACTTGAAACTGATATTCTCAAAACATTAGTCAGATACATTCTCTGTTGGCTTCCTGGCCCTTCTTAGCACAATATCCAAAGGCCTTCCTGTGGCTTACCAAGCCCTGCAGCTCTAGGTTACCTGGTTCCTCTCTGATCACATTGGCCCGTGCTCGCTGTGTTCCAGCCACACTGGCCTGCTGCTCTTTCCTGCCTTGTTCAGCCTTTGAGCACTCATTTTCCCTCTGCCACATTGCTCTCTCTTCAGAGATTTGCCCAACTTGCCGCTCCCTTCATTTAAGTCTAAACCCAAATGTCAACCACTGTTCAAGAATATCATGTCATCTTTCTCTATATACCTAATTTTTTTCATATCTTAAGAAAATACAACTTTTCACTACCTAACATTACATTATATATCTGTTTATTGGCTAATTATGCTGTTAGACCAGATTTCATAGTACAATAGTCCCCTCTTATCTGAGGGCAATACCTTCCGAGACCAAGTGGATGCCTGAAACTGTGGATAGTACCAAATCCTAATATACTATATTTTTTCCTGTACATACATACCTATAATAAAGCTTAATTTATAAAGTAAGAGATTAACAACAACAGTAAAATAGGACAATTATAACAGTATGCCAGCATCGCTACTCTTGCACTTTGGAGCTGTTATTAAATAAAATAAGGTTTCCTTGAACACAAGTACCACGACGATTGCTCTGATGACCTAGAAGGCTACTAAATGACTAATGGGTGGATAGCATCTACAGTGTGGATATGCTGGACAAAGGGATGATTCATCCCAGGCAAAACGGGGCAGGACTGCAAGGTATTTCAGTGCACTACTCAGAATGGTGTGCAATTTATAAACTGTTTATTTCTGGAATTTTCTATTAAATTTTTTGGACTAAGTTGACCAAAGGTAACTGAAATCACAGAAAGCAAAACTTCTTATAAGGAGGGACTATGTAAATGAGTGCAAGGGACCTTTTCTCTTTGGTTCATCGTTTTAGCCCCAGTGCCTTTCATATACATAGTCGATGTTCAAGAGGTATTTGTTAAATGGATATATGGGATGTGATGGGGTGAGTGACTGACAAATATTTTCCCCTTCCTTCTTTACACAAGAGATGCTGAAGTTACCAGATAGTTGGAAAGGCCCAAATTAACTTTTTTGAGATGTAGAGTTCAGGTTTCCCCCTTCTTTCCCATGAATAACAATATATTGTGTAATTCATCATAATTACTTCAGTTAACCACAAATGGAGTAATTGCATTGTTAAATTAGTACCCTCTTACAGTTACTATTCAAGGTAAACTTCTTTCCTGGGTAGCTAGTGACAAGAAAATCATTTGGGCTCATCATTTATTGAGCACTTAAACCCACTAAGCCCATGCCACACTCCTGGTTGTTACCAACCTCCAGTGCTGAAAGAAGGAACTTGTTAAGTCTGTCTGGAATCAGGAAAAACAGAGACATATATAATGTTCTCCAAAAATTCTGCTGCTTATAAAGAGCAGTGAATTCAGAGTGTCTAGGGAAACAGGATTTTTAAATAAGGATTTAGGTTTAAGATGCCTCTTAGTTTCTTAGGGATGGGAAGTGAGTTTTAAAAATTAGCATTTTTCTTTTAATATGATAGTAGAACAATTCGGTTACTGTTTGATAACTTTATACTAATTCATTGACTTTATTATATGAAGAAATAAAGGACTTCAAGAATAGCTCATAACAAACCGGGTGGCGTGGTGGCTCAAGCCTGTAATTCCAGCACTTTGGGAGGCTGAGGCAGGAGGATCACTTGAGGTCAGGAGTTTAAGACCAGCTTGGCCAACATGGTGAAACCCTGTATCTACTAAAAATACAAAAATTAGCCGGGCCTGGCAGCATGCACCTGTAATCCCAGCTACTCGGGAGGCCGAGGCAGGAGAATCGCTTGAACCTGGAAGGTGGAGGCAGTGAGCTGAGATCGTGCCACTGCACTCTAGCCTGGTCAACAGAGCAAGACTCTGTAAAAAAACAAACAAAAACAAGAATAGCTCATAACCTTGAACGTCTTTGTTTGTTTTCTTCATAATTCCTGAGAATTTTTTAAAAAATACCATTACCAATTTCAGTTAATTATCATGTACACCTAGAATATGGAAGTTATTTTGTGCTTTTTATTTTGGGCCTCTTTTCTACCTTTAAGCTTAACATCCAACAGTCTTCTGAACCATATCTTGTTATAATCTGAGCAAATAATTTTCTTTCTGATTGAAAGAGGGTAAACATAAGCTAATTTGTTTAGTCCTTTTTTTAAAAAAAAATCACTGACACTAAATGAGTTAATGTTTGGAGTTTAGTTGACCTCCTAAATTATCCCTATTACAACATAGTAAGACACCATATCTACAAAAAATACAAAAATTAACCAGCCTGGTGACACGTGCTTATAGTCCTAGCTACTTAGGAGGCTGAGGTGGGAGAATCACCTGAGCCCAGGAGGTTGAGGCCGCAGTGAGCCATGATTGCATCACTGCACTCGAACCTGAGCAACAGAGCCAGACCCTGTCTCAAAAAAAAAAAAAATTGGTACCATTCAGAGACAGTGTCAGATGGGGTGTTGACTGGGTTGGTTCACCTATCAGATGGTAAAGTAGGTGTTCTGAGGTGAGCTCAAGGAAGATTGAAATCTCCCATGGAGCAGGACAAAAACGTACTTGATCTTGATTATCTGTATTTATAAAGATTGTCAAAGTAGGACCAAGAAATTTTTCTGATCTTTGGAGTTATCACTGTGAAGCAGAATTCACCAGTCCTTGTTCATCAACCTATCTTGTGTTCCCTATAAATGTTAATGTAGAATAGCCTTATCTTATCTACAAAATATTATTTTTATTAGAAGAATCTAAGTGTAAATCAGTAGCCAAAAATCAGAGATCTGATTTATTAGCTGTTCTCTCTTTTTATTTATACATGGACTTTAATAATCATTATTATCATTATTACAGGCCATGGTTGCTTGTTATCCGGGCAATGGAACGGGTTATGTACGTCATGTTGATAATCCAAATGGAGATGGAAGATGTGTGACATGTATATATTATCTTAATAAAGACTGGGATGCCAAGGTATGCAACTTAATTGAGCATTTATTTTTTTCTTACAGGTGTCTTTTTCTCAAAAGCATTAAGTTTCATACTTCTGATAAGACTGTCACAGACACAGTTAAAAATTTTCCTCTTAAATTTGTTTCAGTCTCAGGTATTAGGAGTGGATTTTTGTAAAATGAAACAAATACTACTCTATGTTATACAACATGATACCTGTAGTTAACAACGTAGTGTTGTGCACTTAAAAATTTAAGAGGGTAGACTCCATGTTCAGTGTTCTAAACACACACACATACACACACACACACACACACACACACGCACACACGAGGTTAGGGGAAGGGAAACGGAACTTTGAGAGGTGATGGATATGTTTATTACCTTGGTTGTGGTGTGTCATGAGGGTGTGCGTATATATCCAAACTCATCAAATTGTAAATGTTAAAGATATGCATTTTTGTATATCAGTTATACCTCAAAACCATATAAAAAAGTACTGATATATCTTAAAAAGTGGATTCATTTATTTTCAGATGTTAGAGCACTTATCTAAAATCTAACTTTTTTAGAAAGGTGACCTTTATTAAAATATTTTCCTTTTAATAGTTTTTAGAAAAACATTTCTGAGAACAGTTGTTTTATAATGGCTTTTGGGGGAGATTATCTATGGATAATTGTTAAGGATTATTTGCTATGTTATTCTTGGCATTTTTGTAAAAATATTATATGGCATTGAGTTGTTTAATTGAATATTGGAGGCAGGATTCAGTCTTTCCCTGATTATTAAAAAACTGGAAGTTTATCAGTACTGACAAGCCCTGTAAAACCAATTAGAATGTACAATATATTTAATCTCTCTTGTTTTAAATATATATTTCCTTAATATTAGCCTGAGTCTCATTAAATTTAAATGATTTTTAAAAAATATGTCATATATTACTACACTAGAGACTGTACAGACTAATTTTTTGGTTGATTTTTTAAAATCTTAAGTATAACATTCAAATAGAAAAGTGGCTTGTATAGTTCAGTGGATTTTCACAAAGTGAACATACCTGTGTAGCCAGGGTGCCTTTTTTTGTTGTTTTTAAGTCAAATAACCTTTAAAAAACCTCTTTCTCTGCATCCCCCAAAACACACAAATGGAAACTGCCTGAGTCTTAAATGTGCAAAAACCTAATCCTGCCCTAAAAAGTGTTTTAAGTTTAGAATATGCTCACAGTGCTTCACTAATCTTTCTAAAACACACTGATTTAAAGAGTTTTCTCTGCCCTAGTCCAGGTTCAAAATGGAGCTGACCTTTCTGCTGAGTATATATTGAGGCATGTCAACAAGCATGGTTTTTCTGTTACAGCTTTCAAAGTTTGAAGTAGAGAAATAAATTTTGTAATTGAATTTGAGCCCAAGGCACAAAACAGATGGGTGTAACTTTAGTTAAAATTTAAAAATTGACTTTTTTTCAGATTTTGTGAATAGCTAGAAAGCTAGAACTGTGTTTCATCAGCTTCTAACTTCTAGATTTTGTTAGGCTTTTTCTAGGCTGATCTTATAATTTCTATAATACTTAGTCAGGGTCATTAATGTGTAGGTTTTAAATTAGGACATAGGCAGAGAAACGTCCCTAGTGTTTTTGTGTGTAGAATAGAAATTTTCCATGCTAGATTGCACTGAATATGTAGTGTGTCAGTTGTTCTGGATGCTAGGGATGTAGCAGAAACGGAATTAGCCCTGGCAGAGCTTAGGATCTATTGGAGGATACAGATCAGAAAGATTGACAGTTACAGATAGTTATGCAAAGTGTCAAGACAGATTGCTATGGAGCACACAGGAGGGCCACCTAATTCAGAGGAGGAAGAGTGGAAGTGTCAAGTAGCCATTTCACTTAAAACATTTTCAGCAGGTCACCTGTGGTACTCCCAATGACTTGAGTCAAAGGGAAGGGAGCAGGAAAAAAGGAAAGAAGACATGTTCTCAGTTTGGAGGTTCTTTAGATGTTTGCATAGTAGCCTGGGGAATCACTCTGAACAACACTGGAACCTGAGGAAGGTTGGCAAGGGTATCAAAGTAGCTAGAATTTAACTTACCTGACAGTGAGCCTGATAAACCTTTTCTTTAACTATAGATTCTAGGTTTAGGCTCAAACGCCATGTTGTCCTGACCAGGTGTTAGAGTTTCTTTAAATTTTAAGAGTCTACCTGCTTAGGAGTGTAGTTATTCAAGAGTAAGGAGCTACTTGGTTGGTTGGGTTTTGCCTATCCCCAGATCGTAAACCCCGCAAGGACAAAGTCTGTCTGCATTATTCCCTACTCTGCACCCAGAGCCCACCACAGTTCCCAGTGCGATTTGATGCCTAGTTGGTGTTTAGGTAAATAATAATCCTTTATGGGTAGAATCAAGTTTCACAAGCAGGTAGTCATCTGTGCATCAGGCCCAGTCTGGAAAGGGAGAGCCACAGGTTCTAATGAACTATATGCTGATGGTGATGGTGACGACGACAATAATGATGGTCATAATAAATGATGACACTTTCTACTGATATACTGAATTATTTAAGTAAGAGGTATTTGTGACTATCCTATTGTTTATTGAATTTTAAAGTATGGTAAACTATTTGACATAATTTATTTCTAATAATAATTTTGTCAAAATTTCTTGAAATCTATCTATTTGAAGGGTGGGTTAAGCAAATCATTAACATACAAAAATAAACGTTTAGTAGTTTTAAAAGCTTTCAAGCATCATTTTAAGACTTTTAAATTCAGATAACATTCTTGTGTTTCATCAGATATTTATAAAAATCCCTAAAATGGCTGGGGACAGTGGCTCACACCTGTAATACCAGCACTTTGGGAGGCCGAGGTGGGCAGATCACCTGAGGTCAGGAGTTCGAGTCCAGCCTGGCCAACATGGTGAAAACCCATCTCTACTAAAAATGCAAAAATTAGCTGGACATGGTGGCGCATGCCTGTAATCCCAGCTACTCGCGATGCTGAGACAGGAGAATTGCTTGAACCTAGGAGGCGGAGGTTGCAGTGAGCTGAGATTGTGCCACTGCACTCCAGCCTGGGTGACAGCGAGACTCCATCTCAATAAATAAATAAATATCCCTAAAATAAGAACTAAATTTGTCCTTGCATCAGTGCATATACTTTTAAAATTGCAGCTCATCTTCATACTTTATTGAGACGTATTTGTGAATAATCCAATTAAGACATTGAAATTGTCTCTTTTTTTCCCCCTAAATTTAATCTTGTAGCATTTTTGGTTACTCCTGCTTACATATTTGGCTCTTTTCCTAGGTAAGTGGAGGTATACTTCGAATTTTTCCAGAAGGCAAAGCCCAGTTTGCTGACATTGAACCCAAATTTGATAGACTGCTGTTTTTCTGGTCTGACCGTCGCAACCCTCATGAAGTACAACCAGCATATGCTACAAGGTAGTATTCCTTTTCAGAAAAAATTGGTTTAGAGTATGGTAGGACAGGAGGGAATCTGTAGAGTAAACGTGAAAGCTTTCTAATGAGTATTTTCCTGCCAGGTACTTTTCACAGTCATTTTAATTTGAATAATTGTATAAGATTTATGTTGCACAGTCATCTGAATTCAAATAATTATATAAGACTCATTAACAGTTAGTACTAAATGTGTCTTTCTTTGCACAGCCACTCTGAAGAAAGGGAAGCACAGGCCTTCCCATCTTTCTAGCACTCTCTCCGTGCTTTGTGCATCTCTTAACTACTATCCATGCTTTGATTTTTGTAAGAGTATTTTACTTGGGAGAGAGAAAGATCAAGAAGGAAAAGGGTTTTTTAAAAGGTGGTGAGGGACAACATAGGAAAATGGATACAGAGTAGAAAAATCAGAGGTAACCAGAGAGTAGAAGTGAAGAGAAAAACAGAAGAAAGAAAAGTAGAGAACAGGTTACCATGTGTGGGAGTTAATGTTAGAAAAATGATCCTATTAGCTTTACAAATAATGAGCATCTGTTTCATTATACTTTTTCTACAAGGTATTTGCAACCTATTATATTTAGTGCTTTATTTCAAATGCTTTTTTAAAAACCATTTATCCTGACTCAATTAAAATGCTCTGGCTGTGAAAACAAGATATTGTAGACATTATCATGAAAGTAAATATTTGTAGAAAAATAGCACATTAAAAAAAAATACTTATTTTTTATTATGGAAAGGTCTTGGAACATTCTGATAGTGAGCTTCCGGCATTCATTTGCTGTATCTGGCTTAGGAGATGCTAGGGTGGCAAGAAGAGGCACAGGCTTAGATGCGCTGGGTGGAGAGTTGGCTTTAGTAATGATGGTTGACTCTAACGACTTGATTATCAGCTGTGCCTTTTTTCTTCCTGCCTTCTGAGGTGTGTTGCCTGCATCCTAATTCACGTACTGAGTAGCAAGCTAAGCAGGTTGTAGCTGGAGATTGTAAGAAATCCTGAATGGAAACCAAAGAAAGACTGTCACATCACATGATGTGCCCTTTTCAATCCCATGTCTCTTCCCAGTGGCATCCCAGTGCTGTCTCTGCCCCCTGCTGCTTCTGTAAAGATTTTCTGACACAGTAACTGCCTCATAGACCTTCCTTTTTATGAAATCCTGAGTTTGGTTTGGTTACGTCCTTTTTAGATGAATAAATAACAGATACTTGGGAGTTTATAGTAAATAAATGCCAGATGGCATGGAGGCTAAGTGCTACAGGAGTTGAGGAACGAAGGTGGTGCTACATTGGAGAGACGGGCAAGTGCGCTTTGAAGGGAGAGGCTCAGCTGGCCTAGGTGAGGAGAGGCAAGGGGTGCAGTCGTGTTAGTAAAGTTCTGGGGGAAAAGGCGTAGTTGTTCAAGTTAAGGCATGGAAAATCATGCGACGAAAAGGATTCTTGAAGTAGAATCCTATTCTGATCTTATCTAGAATGGGTGATAAGGCTGGAAAGTTAGAATGACATAAGGTAAGTTGTTGATCCAGATATTAGAATTCTGATTGCTAAGTGACTAAAAGTTTAGGGCATGGGCAAAAGATACATAAAATTATGTATCTGAGCCCTTTCCTATTTCCAAGGCCACCCAAAAGTAGAAGAAGCCACATGGTAAGAAAGGTAGTGGAACTCTGGAAAGAGCAGAGTCTGGTCTGGAAGTCAGGAGACCTCCTTAGACCTCAGCTCTGTGATTCACCAGTGGTGGGGTCTGTAAACGTCAGGCTCCCAGTTGTCCAAACTCCCAGACTCTTTACTTCAAAATACATTATGTGATTTTTCATTCTGTCATATTACTGGCTGTATGTCTGATAAATGTTGCCTTTTCCCCTGTGTCCACTGGCCACAATCCACAATATATTTGAACTAATTGCTATATTCTGCCCAGGAACTGGTGATTTGTAGCGTACTTTCACTTCCTATAGCGTTTATACATTTTCCCCATTATTTGTATCAGAAAGTATGTCTTTTGTAGTATTTAATAAACTAGAGATGCCTCACTTATTGGTGGAATGAAATATTCTAAGTCAGATTTTCAGAAAAATGAAGTTTAGACAAAGTTTAAACACAAAACACAGTATAATTGCTTTGATTAAAATCCTTAAAAATTCTTAGCATAATTTAACTGTCAAGGTTATAATTGTAAACATCCATCATTACTCTTTGCTATAATGTAGTGATGTCCCCAGAGACTGTTGAAACTGTTAGCCTGCAATGCCCTGAGTCCTTTTATCTGTTTCTTTTCTGTTCTTTTAGTACTTGTGCTATTGATAATGTGCTTTTTCTGTAACAGCCATTCTTTTACCCTTTTATTGTCTCTCTTTTTTTTTAGAGGGAGGCTCACTCTGTCACCTAGGCTGGAGTGCAGTGGCATGATCTCGGCTCACTGCAACCTCCGCCTCCCCGGGTTCAAGCGATTCTCCTGCCTCTCAGCCTCCTGAGTAGCTAGGGCTACAGGCATGTGCCACCATGCACGGCTAATTTTTTTTTTCTTTTTTTTAGTAGAGATGGGGTTTCACCCTATTGGCCAGGTTGGTCTCGAAGTCCTGACTTCATGATCCACCCACTTCGGCCTCCCGAAGTGCTGGGATTACAGGCGTGAGCCACTGTGCCCGGCCTATTGTCTCTTTCTGATCTGCAGTTCCCTTGCAAAAAATAAGTAGTTGAAATAAGTATTAAGAAAGTCACAAAAACTCATCAACTTCAGACATCAATTTTAGTCTCCCCTGGTTACTGTATAAATAAGCTGTTAAATTTATCCTTTGATATCATTCCAGTTTAGGCATAATTTTGGCATTACAAGTTTTAATATACCATTGCAGCAAAATACCACTTTTTCCCCGCAGTGTGATCATTCTTATCCTATTCTAAATTTTCTTTTAGGTACGCAATAACTGTTTGGTATTTTGATGCAGATGAGAGAGCACGAGCTAAAGTAAAATATCTAACAGGTAAACGTCATTTGGGGCCAGGATATATTGGTACAGAAATACCCTGCAATCAGGTGATGCTTTCAGGAAACTCAAGCATAGTCTTTGTTAACACCATGAATACTTACTTTTTGTTTTTTATCAGATTTCTTATTTGCCTCATTTTTTAAGAAGACATAAGTCATCTTCACTGTTATCTTTAACCAAAAAAATTGTCAAAGGATGTGGAAAATTTGAGGCAAAGAAGTCTGAGTAAATTATTCACATACAAACTGAGTTTTCTGTGATTATCCTTTTCAGTCAAAGGCCACTTAACTCTAGGTAACGGCCATATGGTTTCCTCTCATTCACTCCTTAAATTAATACCCTTTCCTTTTCAAATGGATGTGCTCTAAACAGTACTCTAGGTCTTCCATGTTAAATGTAGACATGAAGAAAATTAATACAAAGAATTATGAATTCAAATGCCAAAATCAGTAAATGACACAGACATGTAGATTCCATATCTGCTAATGGTGTACATAGGTCAGCACTCTTGTACTGAACCTGAAGATCCTTTAATTATGCCAGTTCCCCTTCTCTTCCACTTATGGACTGCCTCTCCAAGAGCAGGGGGTCTGTTTCCCATCTGATGGACCACTTACCTTCTTTTCTTTAACTCTACTTTCTATCTCCAAAAATCCACTGAGTATTCACATTACTGATTAGCTGTGTTTTCCAGAGCCATTGCTAATCGCACGTCGACCTTACATAAAAATGGAATATTCATGCATTTTCTATGTATTTTTAAAGCCATTATTTGTGGCACAAGCTCAGTGTGCTTTCAGAGACACTGAACACTCTGTTGAAGAAACTCAAATGGCTTTTAAAATAAAAAGACAAAATCATTATCTCTGTGTAGAGGATGGTTTTATCCTTGAAGGTTTACTATTTGAAACCTCATCACAATAGAATGCTGAGGGAAGTTTTTGGAAGTACAAGCGTGATAGTTCTCAGATGATGTTTGCAAAGTTGAAATATTGTCCATACTCTTAGGAATTCAGTGGAATGCAGTAGCAGAAGCTCTCTGGTGCTTAGTGAATGAATGAAAATTTTTTTTTTTTTTACCTTGCAGGTGAAAAAGGTGTGAGGGTTGAACTCAATAAACCTTCAGATTCGGTCGGTAAAGACGTCTTCTAGAGCCTTTGATCCAGCAATACCCCACTTCACCTACAATATTGTTAACTATTTGTTAACTTGTGAATACGAATAAATGGGATAAAGAAAAATAGACAACCAGTTCGCATTTTAATAAGGAAACAGAAACAACTTTTTGTGTTGCATCAAACAGAAGATTTTGACTGCTGTGACTTTGTACTGCATGATCAACTTCAAATCTGTGATTGCTTACAGGAGGAAGATAAGCTACTAATTGAAAATGGTTTTTACATCTGGATATGAAATAAGTGCCCTGTGTAGAATTTTTTTCATTCTTATATTTTGCCAGATCTGTTATCTAGCTGAGTTCATTTCATCTCTCCCTTTTTTATATCAAGTTTGAATTTGGGATAATTTTTCTATATTAGGTACAATTTATCTAAACTGAATTGAGAAAAAATTACAGTATTATTCCTCAAAATAACATCAATCTATTTTTGTAAACCTGTTCATACTATTAAATTTTGCCCTAAAAGACCTCTTAATAATGATTGTTGCCAGTGACTGATGATTAATTTTATTTTACTTAAAATAAGAAAAGGAGCACTTTAATTACAACTGAAAAATCAGATTGTTTTGTAGTCCTTCCTTACACTAATTTGAACTGTTAAAGATTGCTGCTTTTTTTTTGACATTGTCAATAACGAAACCTAATTGTAAAACAGTCACCATTTACTACCAATAACTTTTAGTTAATGTTTTACAAGGAAAAAGACACAAGAAGAGTTTAAATTTTTTTGTTTTGTTTTGTTTTTTTGAGACAGTCTTGCTCTGTTACCCAGGCTGGAGGGGAGTGGTGCATTCTTGGCTCACTGCAACCTCCGCCTCCCAGGTTCAAGCAATCCTCCCACCTCAGCCTCCCAACTAGCTGGGACTGCAGGCACACACCACCATGCCTGACTAATTTTTGTATGTTTAGTAGAGACGGGGTTTTGCCATGTTGCCTAGGCTGGGGTTTAAGTTAAATTTTTTAAAAAACTAAAGTGACTGGCACTAAGTGAACTTGAGATTATCCTCAGCTTCAAGTTCCTAAGATAAGGGCTTTCTTAAGCTTTCAGGTGTATGTATCCTCTAGATGTAGACAATAATGTCCCATTTCTAAGTCTTTTCCTTTTGCTTCTCCTTAAATTGATTGTACTTCCAAATTTGCTGTTATGTTTTTTTCCTAATACTGTGATCTATCTGATCTGCAGACAAGAACCTTGTCTCTGTTGAAGAGCATCAAGGGGAGATTATGTACACATTGAAACTGAAGTGTGGTGTTACTGACGGAATGTGCAGTAACTCCTCAGATATCTGTTAAGGCATTTCCCAGATGTGATGCCAGCCTTCTTACCTGTACTGAAAGATGCTTAGCTTAGAAAAAAACAAAACAGATGCAAAATCAGATAATTTTATTTTGTTTCATGGGTTTTCTTATTTACTTTTTAAACAAGGAAGGAATATTAGAAAATCACACAAGGCCTCACATACATGTTATTTAAAGAATGAATTGGGACGGATGTCTTAGACTTCACTTTCCTAGGCTTTTTAGCAAAACCTAAAGGGTGGTATCCATATTTTGCGTGAATTATGGGTGTAAGACCTTGCCCACTTAGGTTTTCTATCTCTGTCCTTGATCTTCTTTGCCAAAATGTGAGTATACAGAAATTTTCTGTATATTTCAACTTAAGACATTTTTAGCATCTGTATAGTTTGTATTCAATTTGAGACCTTTTCTATGGGAAGCTCAGTAATTTTTATTAAAAGATTGCCATTGCTATTCATGTAAAACATGGAAAAAAATTGTGTAGTGAAGCCAACAGTGGACTTAGGATGGGATTGAATGTTCAGTATAGTGATCTCACTTAGGAGAATTTGCAGGAGAAAGTGATAGTTTATTGTTTTTTCCTCGCCCATATTCAGTTTTGTTCTACTTCCTCCCCTTCCTTCCAGATGATAACATCACATCTCTACAGTAAGTGCCTCTGCCAGCCCAACCCAGGAGCGCAAGTTGTCTTTGCCATCTGGTCTATAGTACAGTGCGCGGCGTTAGGCCACAACTCAAAAGCATTATCTTTTTTAGGGTTAGTAGAAATTGTTTTATGTTGATGGGAGGTTTGTTTGATTGTCAAAATGTACAGCCACAGCCTTTTAATTTGGGAGCCCCTGTTGTCATTCAAATGTGTACCTCTACAGTTGTAAAAAGTATTAGATTCTACTATCTGTGGGTTGTGCTTGCCAGACAGGTCTTAAATTGTATATTTTTTGGAAAAGTTTATATACTCTCTTAGGAATCATTGTGAAAAGATCAAGAAATCAGGATGGCCATTTATTTAATATCCATTCATTTCATGTTAGTGGGACTATTAACTTGTCACCAAGCAGGACTCTATTTCAAACAAAATTTAAAACTGTTTGTGGCCTATATGTGTTTAATCCTGGTTAAAGATAAAGCTTCATAATGCTGTTTTTATTCAACACATTAACCAGCTGTAAAACACAGACCTTTATCAAGAGTAGGCAAAGATTTTCAGGATTCATATACAGATAGACTATAAAGTCATGTAATTTGAAAAGCAGTGTTTCATTATGAAAGAGCTCTCAAGTTGCTTGTAAAGCTAATCTAATTAAAAAGATGTATAAATGTTGTTGAAACATTATGGTGGTTATTTCCAGCTGTCTTTTTTGTTTTTCAATCCTTTATCATACATTGGCTTTCCGAATGATCCCTTTCATCAGATAAAGCTTTTCTGGCTTAGTCTAGGACATTTGTTATAACTTTTTGTAAATGATAATGAAGGAAAGAGAACAGTAAACATAGGAGTTCAACAATTTTAGAAACATCCCTGGGGTCATTGGACTGTCTGTGGGATCCATGAAGTCTGTTTGGATTCTCAGCACTTGAATTCTTGCCCTTTTAGTAGGATTTTTAAAATTATTTTAACATTCATAGCTGTTGACAGATCTGTATCACCCCTCTGCTGCAAAAGGAAGTGGGGTTAGGCATTTATCTCTAATTGTCATAGATGTACCATTGTGTATATGCAAGAAGGTTTAATTTGTGTGGTCATAACTAAAATATGAGAGCTCTTATTAAGGTGAGATCAAAATACCTGTTTATATATCTGTTATTTAAAGAAAAATTTTCCACAGTGTTTTGTTATTTTCCAGCGTTTCTTAGAACATTTGGGAATTACACTAAAATATAGCTGGGTGGATTGAAGTAAAGGGCAAATGAGTTTGAGATGAAGTTTGAGATGTGCTTTTTTATATACAAAAAGCACATCTTCCACCTTAAACAGTTGTATGAGACCTAAATGAAATACAGTGTGCAAAGTACCTTACAATGCATGGAACAAAGTAGGCCTTCAACGAGGATTATTGCCCTTTCCTTTAACAATATGATAGCATAATTGCAGAGAGAGAAAATTGGGGCAATGAGCTTTGAATAGCTAACGGTTTTATCAGTTGTAAATGTGAATCATTTGGAAGCAGGAGTGTTGTCTTATTAATGACAGGTCTTATTTTATAGCTTAGATTTAAATTAAGTCACTGGTGCAAGGCACTTCATCAGATTATTTTCCCAAAGTGCAAAAGTGCATGTGATCCAAGAAAGAGAGCTGTATTTGGGTATGAACTGCAATGATACATATTTATGTCATATCTAATAACATAATTGTATGTTGGATTTTTTCAATTAGTTTATAAATATTCAGAAGTAACTAGTCTCCATTGCTTCAAAAGATAATTGTTTAGACTTCTCAGGTCATGAATTTATCCCTCAGATTATGTTTTTGGTTTGAATTTTATCTGAACCATGGCGATGCTCAAGTATGTACCATGGGACCAATGGGACCAATGAGATGTGTGAAGGGCATGGCCTCATGAGCTGGAAATAGTTTCATAAGTAGAACACACTAAATGTCAGCCACTTCACAAGATGGGGAGAGCCTAAACAGCTGCAAGTAGCTAAAGCTCTTTTTATTGAATAATTACTAAACAGTTGTCAAAAATTATTGATAATTTTTGCTCTGAACAAGATGTCATTGGGGTCAGAAAGTTACTAGATAGGGCCTTCATTGAGATTAGGATGTTTTCTGCCAAAATTATTCCAAATGTCTTCTACAAAATACCTTTACATTTTTTTTCCCTAGTACATGCAAAGTGTAGGCAAAGCAAATTTTGTCTCCATTTGTAATTAAAACAGGATCAGAGAAGTGACTTGCTCACAGTCACAAAGCTTGTAAGTGGTAGAGAGCCAGGAATTGAGTGTGAGCTTTCCTTGTTTAGTTTTGTTCGAGTGGCTAAATCAACTTGTCTGTGGTTGTTAAGAAAAACAGTAGTCCCAGCTGGTCACGGTGCTCAGCCTGTAATCCCAGCACTTTGGGAGGCCAAGGCGGGCAGATCACTTGAGGCAGGAGTTCGAGACCAGCCTGGCCAACATGGTGAAACACAGTCTCTACCAAAAATACAAAAATTAGCTGGGTGTGGTGACACACACCTGTAGTCCCAGCTACTCAGGAGGCTGAGGCAGGAGAATCACTTGAACCTGGGAGGCAGAGGTTGCGGTGAGTCTTTGCCATTGCACTCCAGCCTGGGCAACAGAATGAGACTCTGTCTCAAAAAAAAAAAAAAAAAAAAAGTATTGCCTTTAAAAATTCTTAATTAAAAAAAAAAAAGTAGTCCCTCACATTCTTCCCCTGAGAAAACAAGTGTCAACTGTTTTAAATGATTCTTTGGATATCTCCCCACCCATTAGTTTAAATAATATAATTGGATTGCTGCCTCTTGATTTTTTTCAGTGTTAGGCATTTTCTCCTAACTTCTCCACACGGCAGATCTCTCTCCAAGGTTCCTCCACCATCTCTACCACACATAGGCAAGCAGACATCCATCTCCCCTGGTCTTCCTTCTGTTCCTATGCTGTAACCGAGATCAGGTTCGTGTTCCTGTTATGGCTGTGCTAGTCAAAGCTGAGACATACAGGAAATCATGTTGACTTGACTTTTCTTCCACAACTTACTTTTTCCCTTAATGTCTTGATTTTTCGTTTGTTCCCTGTGGCTTCTAACTTGCACCAATCTGGACTGGTTGCTCTTAACGCCTGGGGCACAGCTGTCTTTCTTGGGTCTCCCTTCACCTGTGTTCTAGAGATTTCCTTCACCACTCTTCGGTCAGCTCTCCTGTTTCCTGGATCCCATGTCTTCATCTTTCTTGGTTTACTGAATGGAGCATGCCCTCTAATACTTCCTGTAGAAATGTATGGATGGTAAATTTTCTGAGACCAATATCTTTGTTTTACCACCACATTTCATTGGTAACTTTGGAAATCATGTTCCAGAATTTTGAAAGCATTGCCTCACTGGTTCTAGGTTCCAGTGTGTAGATACTGAGAAATCTGAAGCCATTCTTATTTCTGATTCTTTATATGTAATCTTTTTCTTTGTGGAAGCTCATAGAATATTCTTATCCCCAGGGCGCCATAGTTTTATAGTGTGCTTTAATGTGTGCCACTTGTCAACCTCTGTGCTAGGAATGCAGACTGTAAAATCACCCCACCATTTTGGGACATTTAAATTTTCTCCATCCATTCTCTGTTCTCTCTTTCTGGCACTCCTTTGTCCAGGCAGGACCTCTACTGGTTTGAACCTATTTTCTTCTCTAGTTACTGTGTATCTGTCTTGACTGGGGACATCTGTTTTCCCATTCTTCTGGTGAGTATATGGTGTCTGTTGTCAGGTTCCTAAATTTCAGGAGCTCTTTTTTGTTCTCGAATTTAAGAAAATATATGTAATAATCTCTTAATTGATACAGTATTTAACTTTTTTCTGTTTCAATTTTTTTTCTTTCATGCTAGAAGTTTTCCTTAAATGTCTGGTACCTCTTGCTTGTGTGTTTACATTTAAGAGGAAGGTACTTGAGTTTCTGGTTTTCCAAGGAATATTGGCTGCTTCCTAAATCTAAAGCTCTATCGTAGTCTTCCAAAAACCATAAAGACAAAAGACAGCAGTCACCATAATCTGTGCCTGCAGCATATCTATGAGACAGAAAAAAAATCCAACTTTGTCTTTTTTTTTTTTTTTTTTTTTTGAGACAAGGTCTTGCTCTGCCACCCAGGCTGGAGTGCAGTGGCATGATCGGGACTCACTGCAGCCTCGACTTCCCAGGCTCAGGCGATCTTCCCACCTCAGCCTCCCGAGTAGCTGGGACTACAGGCACCTGTCACCATGCCTGGGTAATTTTTTTTACTTTGTGTAGAGACGAGGTCTCCCTATGTTGCCCAGGCTGGTCTTGAACTCCTGGGCTTAAACGATCCTGTCCCCCTCAGTCTCCCAAAGTTGCTAGGATTACAGGATTGAGCCACCACGCTTGGCCAAAAAACTTCAATTTACGTGGAGGCAGAGAAAAGCACATCTGACACTAGAGCCAGCGTCAGAACCCTCGTGAGGGCTGAGAGTCAGGTGGAAACTAGAGGGTAAAGACGTGGGGCAGCAGGGTCCTAGAGTGGCAGTAGAAAGGAAAAGACAGACCAGGTATGGTGGCTCGCACATGTACTGCCAGCACTTAACTGGTACCATTTAACTCTATCAACAGAACATTCCTGAATCAAGGAACTCGGCCACACAAACCCCTTGTCCCTGCCTGCAGAGAACCAACTGGTTTTGCAAGACAAGGAAAATAAAACCTTTTAATATGAGCAGAAAAAGGAAGATAACATCCATAAAAACTACTAGAAGAAAAAATGAGAATCAATTACAGCTGATGAAAATTCTCAACCACAGGCAGAAGAAAACTACCAATATCTAGTATGAATTAAATAGGCCTTTGCAGAAATAAAAATTAACGTGAAATTAGAAATTTAAATCTCAAAACAAAAATGGACCAAAGGGGGGGAAAAAACAGAGGAAGCTGAGAAAAGTTGAAGTAACTCAGCAAAGAAATTGAAAAAGATGAATTAATTTAAGCTACAAGGTGACCAAGTGGAAATATAATGAAGGGCATTGCAAAAAAGGTAGGGAAGCAGCCAAGAACAGAACAGTTACGAAGGGTTAGAAAGTATGACACACACACGTGCTCCCTTGTGGTATAGTTGCACAATGAAATCCCGTACATCAGTGAGACCAATCTACAAACCCAACAATTCGGGTGACTCACGTCATGTGGAGAAGCTGGGCTCCAGCCTCTGCACATGGATCCCATGAAGGTGGCTGTTTGGTGTTAACAACAAACTTATGTGGGTCCATATAAAAATAAAGCCACTTAGACGTGTGTAGGTATGCATATGTATACACACAAATTTTATATATATATATATATATATATATATATATATATATATATATATATATATATATAATTTATTTATTTATTTTTTGGAGACAGGGTCTTGCTCTGTCGCCCAGGCTGGAGTGCAGTGACGCGATCTCGGCTCACTGCAACCTCCACCTCGTAGGTTCAAACAATTCTCGTGCCTCAGCCACCCGAGTACCTGGGATTACAGGCGCCCACCACCACGCCCGGCTAATTTTTGTATTTTTAGTAGAAACGGAGTTTCACCATGTTGCCCAGGCTGGTCTCAAACTCCTGGCCTCAAGGGACCCACCCGCCTCGGCCTTCCAAAGACCTGGGATTACAGGTGTGAGCCACCGTGCCCAGCCAATATTTACCTACTGAATTATTTTAAAGGCGTACAAATACATATATGAGTACTATGAGAAATCTTTTGTTTAAAAAAAAAAATACCCTCCCAGTTTTCATGCAAATCCAGGTTATCATATATTTAGTTTACCAGGAATGCTTACAACCTGGAAATGATTTAGGTCTCAAGAGTATTCTAGCTTGAAAATATACCTATAACTTTGATTCTTCAGAAGTATAGAGAAGAGTCAGTGTTCAGGTGTTTTTTTTTGCAAAGGTGTATAACCATGGAACATGAGAATACCCAGCCCTAACATTCACTTAACACCAAGAATCCAAAAGCTGCCTGTTGGCTCTTTCAGACCTCTCAGGTAGAGGCAAAAAGACATAGTTTAGAGTACTATAAGAAACAGTACAAAAGTACAGGTCTTGCCTTGTCTAGAAGATAGATAGCCGGTTGAGCATGATCTTGTTTTGCCCTGTCTGGGTACCAGTTTCTTTCTTGCAGGAGACTACTATGTTACATGTTTAGAGTGAAAGGTGAAATGCTTGAAAACAGGTTTAGGGAGACTAAAGTGTTCTGTAGATCAGTCCTTGTTTGAACAAGCACACATTCTTGGCCTGCCGTGTCCCCTCACAGAACTTGAGATCATAACTTGTTCTTTCCTATCTATGAATCAACTGGTAATTAGTGTTCCAGTTGTCGCAAGTTTCTTTTATCCACTTGGCTTGGCTCAGCCAGAAGTTTGGCTTACCAAGAGCACCACCTAGTGTTCACTAAGCAAGATGGTAAATCTTGGTAAATTTAGCACCAGTACTGAAGAAAACAAATGGCACCTTGCTTCTGTACTACAGTCCAGAGTCATTTAAGATTCTACTCTTCATTTCGAAAGATATGTGATGATGAAATATGTAATCATTATAACTTCTAACATTCTAATGGGATACTAGGAAAAAGCCAGAGCTAATCTGCACATTGCATTCTGTTCTAATTTCAACTCCTTAGTCACTTTAATTTATAATTGTCATATGAAGAGTTTCACTTCTGTTGGTGAATATGCCGATAGTCAACAACTACAACAAATTGCTAAAAAGTCCACAGTAGCCTTAAGGACAAAAAAAAAATTGAGACGAAGAATAAAAGGAAACCATTGGATCACGATTAATGCAATACCAGGATAAAAAACTTAAAACACAACATAAAAAGAGCTGACACTGCACGCACCCAGAAAGGGTCCAGCTAGGTGCTAGTTTTGCAGGTACATCAGTTGTTTCACTTTGACGTTCGTATTTTAAAGTCCTGTAAGCTTTAAAAGTATGATCTCAGAGCTATCAGACAATGGGACAGTATGAAGTTTTGTCATAGTATTTTCCTTTCCACTTTAGAATTCCCAGTTAGGATATGCATATGCATATCCATAGTCTACAAAAAGCAAAACAAAATTTTCTTTTTTTTTTTTTTTTTTGAGACGGAGTCTAGCTCTGTCGCCAGGCTGGAGTGCAATGGCATAATCTCGGCTCACTGCAACCTCCGCCTCCTGGGTTCAAGCAATTCTCCTGCCTCAGCCTCCTGAGTAGCTAATTTTTTTATTTTTAGTAGAGATGGGGTTTCACCATGTGGGCCAGGATGGTCTCGATCTCTTGATCTCGTGATCTGCCCGCCTCGGCCTCCCAAAGTGCTGGGATTACAGGCGTGAGCCTCCATGCCCAGCTTTTTGTTGTTGTTGTTGTTGTTGTTTGAGACAGAGTCTCACTCTGTCACTCAGGTTGGAGTGCAGTGGTGCAGTCTCAGCTCACTGCAACCTCTGCCTCCTGGGTTCAAACGATTCTCCTGCCTCAGCCTCCTGAGTAACTGGGATTACAGGTGCATGCCACCACACCTGGCTAATTTTTGTATTTTTAGTAAAGACGGGGTTTCACCATGTTGGCCAGGCTGGTCTCAAACTTCCGATCTCACGTAATCCACCCACCTCAGCCTCCCAAAGTACTGGGATTACAGGCGTGAGCCACCATGCCCAGTGCAATTTTTTTTTTTTTTTGGCACAGTTTCGCTCTTTTTGCCCAGGCTGGAGTGCAATGGCACAATCTCGGCTCACTGCAACCTCCGCTACCCAGCTTCAAGCGATTCTTCTGTCTCAGCCTCCCGAGTAGCTGGAATTACAGGCACTTGCCACCACGCCCGGCTAATTTTTTGTATTTTTAGTAGAGACGGGGTTTCACCACGTTGGCCAGGATGGTCTCGATCTCTTGACCTCGTGATCCGCCCACCTCGGCCTCCCAAAGTGCTGGGATTACAGGCGTAAGCCACCACGCCCGGCTGCCCAGCACAATTTTCTAAAGTAAAAATTAAGGCTAGGTAACATATAACACTGACCTTAAAATAAACACTGTTTTCGCAGGGCATGGTGGCTCACGCCTGTAATCCCAGCACTTTGGGAGACCGAGGGCAGACAGATCACTTGAGGTTAGGAGTTTGAGACCAGTCTGGCCAACAAGGTGAAACCCCCATCTCTACTAAAAATACAAAAATTAGCCAGGTGTGGTGGCGCTCGCCTTTAATCCCAGCTACTTGGGAGGCTGAGGCAGGAGAATTGCTTGAACCCCGGAGGCGGAGGTTGCAGTGAGCCGAGATTGTGCCACTGCACTCCAGCCTGGGCCACAGAGCAAGATTCCATCTCAAAAAACAAAACAAAAACCCAAAACCCACCGTTTTATAAAAACAGAATCTAGACCCCATGTCCCCACAGCAGGGGGATAGCATTTAAGGATTGAGCCAGAATTACCAGCTCTGCTTCTAAGTTGGGAAGTTGGCTTTAAAAGGGAAAATCTAAACAGAAACAAAACTATGTCTCTATTATGAATGACATATTTGGGGGAATATCAGAATTTTTAGGGTGCAAATTTTCTCAAGTGTTTAACAGATGTAGTAAGGCTTATTTCAAATTGAGTTCCATTTTCTCAACTATTTCCATCATTCCCTAGAACCTGAAACCAACTCCTGACTTTACTACCTGTTTCTCAAAAAATTGTCTCTTCCTCTCCCTCCCTGCCACTACCCTTCCCCCTCTTATCTATGCTGTCCCCAGAAAAATCCATTGGAAACACTTCTCAACATGTCCTCGACTGGCTTATAAGCCTTTCCAAGCCCCACCTTAATTAAGAGATGCTTATTAGCAGGTATCACACAAACCAGACATAAAGTGAGGAACATGAGATCCCTGGCCTCAAACTTGTACTACTTAGCTAGATCTGTCCTATCTGCCATCTCTCCTTTGGCCATTTTGCCCCTCACATTTTACTCTATTCACTTGGAATAGCATTCAGTTCCCTCGGAACATGACTTTGTGTTCCTTCTTCCCTTTGAAAGGTTCTTCCCCACCCTTCTTTAACCAGGCTAACTCGACTCACTCTACATGATTCAACTTTGGATGTTGTCTCCTCCAAGAAACATCCCCCGAAGTCCTGGGCAGAGCTAATTTTTCTTCCTACAGTTTACCCACAGCACCCAGCAAAAACCCTTGTCATAGCACTTAGCAAACTCTAAGGAGATTAATGTGCATTTGTCTTACTCCCCAACTATGCTGTAAAGCTCCTTGAGGACATGGACCATCTCAGCTACTTCACAGCCCCAGAACCTTGTGTGGTTTTGGCTCAGGAAGCATTTAATTACACATAATTTGTTACATTCATTTAGAGAAATGATCCTCTATGAAAATATAACTATATATTGAACATAATATACATTTTAATACCTATTTATAAGTATTTATTAAAATGTTTTAATGCTTTAAGGAATATCAAAATTTGTGAACAGCCAACCAGTCTAAAACGAAAAGGGCTGCTAACAGTGTTATGAATGGTGAACAACTAAAACTCTCATACATTGCTGGTAGGAGTGTAAACTGGCAGAATTTACTAAAGCTAAACAGAAATATACCCCGTGACTCAGCAATTCCATTCCTGTATATATACCCAACAGAAAAGATAAGAATGTTCTTAGCAGCATTATGCTTAACAGCCCCAAACTGGAAATAATTCAAATGTCCATTAACATTAGAATGGATGAATAAATTCTAGTATATTCATACAAATGCAAGAGCAATGAAAATGAACTCCTGCTATACATAGGAACAAAGATACTACATTATAAAATTAAAAAATAATCTGCGACGATGGGGTGAAAACAGTGGGGACCTCTGGAGGTGGTGAGGGTCATGGGTATCAACTGGGAACAGACACCTATAGGAAGCCTTCTGTGGCAATGGAAGTGTTCTCTAACTTGATCCGGGTGGTAGTTACACAGGTGAACACTGTAAAAGTTTACCCAGCTGTGCACTTAAGATTTGTGCACCTGTATTACAACAAAGTGAAGGAAAATTGCAACAAGAAAAAAGAAAACTTGTGAACAACTGTGTTAGGGCTATGCCAACAGCATGTACAGCCACAAGACAAAAAGCAAACTGATAAAAGTCTCTTTGTCCTTTCCCTATAACATGGAAAATATTTTTTTTAAAAAAGATTACTTAAAATGCACAAATGGTATTCCTTTTATTATAATGTTTTAAACTTGGCTTAAAGTTCAAAATACTATTTCCAGATAACTTTCCACTGTTACATCAACTAGGCAACTTTGTTATGTTTATGTTATATGTATCAGTTACTTATCAGCACAGAATTTTAACCACTCTGCTAAATTTTGAGAAAACAGCTAAACTCAATATAAAATTTGGCCTACAGAATTATAGTGGCTATTTGTTACTAAAAATATTCCAAAAGAAATTTACTTATTTTACTATATTCCATATTCTTTAACTTAAAATCTGCTGCCACTGTTTAGTAAAAGTGGGACAAATAAAATTCTTTAAAATATAGAAAATACAGTTCCTGTTAAGATTTTGCAAACAAAAAAATTAATAAATAATACAATTTGAGTACTCTAAAACAATATACTTTGTAGTCTAGATTGTGGTTTTGGTCAGTATGTCTGACACTATGAAGATTTACATCAGTTCAGGGAATGAGTTCTAATACTATTAATAAATAGTCAATATAACCAAACACCTGACAGGATTCCCCATATGAATATTTTTAGGAAAGTATACAAATAAAAAGATTAACAGGTTTTTAAAATCCTTAAGAGCAAGAAAGAACAAAAGTATCTAAAACTTATACACGACAGGCAGAACCTGGGTTACAGTATACCTAAGGCAAGAGTGAATGTAGCACCCTGAGACACAAAACATCTTAAAATTACAATCTTATATGCGTATATATAAAATAGGACACTTTCTATTGGTTATGTGAACTAGATTATAACCTACAAATCTTAGTATTAACCAGAACTTCCTGACTGGCTGACATAGCACATTAGTGAGATAATACAGGTGGTACTTGAGACTTTGAAACCTTTTTCAAAGACTTTCTTCGCTTTTGACTTTGATGCTGTCACCTTCAAGGCACCAGTCCAAGTGCTCATTAATCTGAGACTCCAGAACTTCATTCTGACAAACTGGGCAATTAACCATTTTGCTCTGACTGGATGAACTGCTGGAATTCTGAGCTGTGGTTGTACTATACTTTGGATCATTACCACTGCTTTTTATTTGCTCTTTCTTGATAAAAAAATTGTCAAAAACAGTCTTATCTTCTAGCCTAGGTCGTTTATTTGGGAATGTATCTTCAGACCCACTCACATCCTGGGATGGCATCACAGATGCTGATTCCGTTACTTTTGAAGAATTTCTTAGGGATATCTTAGAAGATGAAACCCTTCTCTGAGAACTAGAAGAGACTGAGTTTTTAGGGATGTTGCCAACTGTTACACTTATCCTTGGAGATCCATTCACACCTCTGAAAGCCTTTTGGTTGGCAAATGATACTCTAGGAAAGTAGTTGCTTAGAACATTTTGGTGACTGTTACTAACAGCAGGGGAGACCAGATGAGAATTTTTACTTGAACCATTCTGTTCAAATTTCACCTTGATTTTAGAATTAGGTCTTACAGCATTTGCTGAATGGTTTTGATTTAAAAGATCTTGGGTTTTATTAATGGCATGTGAAGTGATCAGTTTCCCAGGTGAAGGTAAATTGCTTGTTTCTCCTAGAACATATCCTTTCCCACTAAAAGGGATTACTAGCTGGGCCTCACCTCTGTTGGGTTTATCTGCCAAAAAAGCAAAGAAGATTGTTATGTAAGTGCCTCAACTCAAAAGAAATACAGTAACAAACATTAAACTAATGTACAGTTTTCTCAAAATGAAGAACTAGTATTTTATTCCATCTTACATCCATACAATCCTATTAATGGGAGGAGGGCAATCTTCAGAATTCAGGAGTTCTGATATTGAGAGAATATAAAGGATAAAAAAAAATTCTCTCATATTTAAATAAAGAATCTTATCATGCCAAAGACCAACAACAAGGCAACATTTACCTTGAAAATTGCTTAGTGTCCTTTATGTGTAATTCCAGGAGGGAAAATCTGCTGCCTCATTCTTATCTTTCCTTCTACTCACGAAAATGAAGATACGGTCTTTCCATATCAATTCATCTATAGCTCTTTCACTCAATAATTAAAGATTTGGGAAATATAACCTATGTTCTTGGGTCAACAACTTCCCAAGGGAAGAAGCATCTTCAGTAACTCTGAACTTCACAGGAAAAGGGTAAATCTTGAAGATGAAGTACTGGCAAATATATGTCATATCCTTTTCCCATTCTTTGAATGAACATACATACATCAATAGAGTCACTTGGATAGAATCCAGCTGATAGGAAGGGGTGTAGTTAGGACGTATATTCCGGGCATTGTTACTTGAATTATTGTTTTTATTTTGACAATCTTTTTGCCTTCTGTTTCCTAATAACTCAGTGAGTCAAGATAGGGAAAGGAACTTTACCTCAAATATTATCAGAGATTGAATTTTGTTTCTTTGAATAAAAAGAAACTGAAAAAAGTTAATAAAAATAAAAATATCCATGGAAACTATTCCTACTTTTACTTACTTCTGTACAGAGCAAAGTCTGTTTTCCTACCATCATTTCATGGACAGTGGGATTTTTTCCTTAAGTCTACACTTGAAGACTTCTACACCAGAAACGATCCTTAAGTTTATCTTAATACCAGTTCTCTGAAGGACAGTATTGTCTTTACATCATAGCTATGGTCACATAAAAATCAGAAGAATATACACGAAGGTACCTTTATTCTCTGCGGCCAATACTGGTTCCTTTCCTAGTTTTGCCTTTCCTTTGCCTTTTTTTGAGTAATTCTCTGGTTCCTTGATTTTTATGTAAGTGCCTCCACAGGTTTTCTGGTGCTCAGCCCACCAATAGTCATGAGCAGAGGGTTCCCTGTTAGTAGCTCGTTTGACATAGCCGTAATACGGTGGCCTGTGCTGGCACGGCCCATTGCAGCGCCACCAGTGTCGCCGATACTCATCCACCTCATCGTGAAAAGTATGGTATACCTGAGTGGAGACAGAATTTTTAGTATTCAATAAGCAAGTTAACAACTGCAAGAAAACAATTTACATAAGCAGTCTTTTTTTTTTTTTTTTTTTTTTTTAATTTTTGAAACTTTCCCAGAGCTTTCTGAAAAGTTCTATTTTAGGAGAGAAAGCAACTATATTTAGTTTCTGTTCAAAAGTTGATTTTAATGGGAAACAGCAGCAGTTAATACTTCATAAACTGTGTAAAGATAGATGCACATGGGATTAGAGGACAAAAAAATCTTTTAAAAACAAAACCACAGAAAATCTTCATGAACACTAAAAGTTTCAGAAATCAAATTTGTAAATGATCAAAAATTAGGATAAAGATAAGATTTTATGTAATACCATACTAAAATAAGAATCATTCCCACTGCTAAATTGAAGTTTTCCCTATAAGTAAAAATAGCAAAGGGTTCTAAAGGACTACATTACTCCCTATAAATGCCTGACTGACGCTAACAACACAAGTATCTTACCCAGTGAAGCTTCTGCTAAGCTCACTCTCCACATTCTCCAAGTTCTGTGCTTATGTCTCTGTAATAAGCCTTATGAGGTACCATTTTATCTGTTTATAAATATTTCTATTACCAGACTGAAAAGTTCTCCAGGATCTGAATGTTTTAATTTTTTGTGTCCCTAGTGGCTAATATAGTGCTTTTGGCACCAAGAAGGTGCTCAGTCAGAAAAGCATCATTCATTGAGTCAAATAAAATTCTCTGAAGTGTGCTTTTCAGGCCTTAAGTAGGATGCCTTCTTTTTCACCCTCTAGACAAAAATCCTATTTGGAACCCAAGCAGAAAACAGGTAAGGGAAAAGACCTGACTGAAAAGAGGGTCAGCCCTCCCAGCATGGTGGCACTGAAGACTATAGAGCACCATTTGAAATGACTCCTAAATGACTATGGGCACCTTATTCTTCTGCCTTCTCAGTGGAACTCTCTGTGTAAGAGTGAGAAGCATCTGTATGTAAGATTTTGGTGTTTTACCAAAGACATTTAGCTTTCTAATAAATTCCCCTTGTGGGAAAGAATGCTAAGCTTTCTATAACTCTATAGATAGTTTTAAACTCACTATCGCTCCATCCTAAGCAAAAAATTTCTACTTGGTAAGCATGCAAAGAATGCACATTATATTAAATGCAGAAGGGACTGAAGGACATAGGTTTTAAGGCAAAGAAGCACGGGAAACCACGCACTCTATTATGTTCAGAACTCTTAATTCATTACCCAAAAAGAGAGACAAATGGATCTGTTTTGTTTGTTTGTTCTGTGACATGGACTTGCTCTGTTTGCCCAGGCTGGAGTGAGGTGGCATGAACCTGGCTCACTGCAACCTCCGCCTCCCAGGCTCAAGTGATCCTTCCACCTCTGCCTCTCGAGTAGCCGCGAATACAGGCGTGAGCTACCACGATTAGCTAATTTTTGAATTTTTTTTGTGGAAACAAGGTCTCACTAAATTGCCCAGGCTGATCTCAAACACCTGGGCTCAAGTTACCCTCCCACTTCGGCCTCCCAAAGTGCTGGGATTACAGGCGTGAGCCACCACACCCAGCCTGGATCTGTTCTGCTTCCAATTCCTGTAACTCCTAACGCTTGGGAATGTGACTTTTAACAATGTAGTCACTAAAATAAAATTACTCTACAATGTAGATACCCTGCAGAGTTCCTTATAACAGGATGTAACCTGTAAAAGCAAGGAGTGTTCACTCCTTACAACCTCTCCTAAATAAAAACACACAGATATCTAAGATAAAAGAACAGATACTCTTCCAGCTGAACAATGGGACGTATACAAGGGCTTTGCTTAAAGTATAAGTTCTGGTTAAGAAACTTAATGTATTTTATACAAGCAAGTCTATAATTCTCTTGCTAACCCGGATTTTATGTCTGATTTTTTTAAAAACTGCAAGACACTTTCCTAATGTTGAAGTAACTGTGTCTAATAATGAAATGAAGTCTTTAGAAAATTAAAACTGATAGCTAGAAAATAGTAATACATGGAGAGGCCAGGCATGGTAGCTCATGTCTATAATCCCACCACTTTGGGAGGCTGAGATGGGAGGATCACTTGAACCCATGAGTTCAAGACCAGCCTGGGCAACATGGTGAGACCCTGTCTCTAAAAAAAAAAATTTTTTTTTAAATTAGCTTGACATGGTGGCACACATCTGTAGCCCCAGCTACTCAGGAGGCTGAGGTGGGAGGATCACTTAAGCCCAGGAGGTTGAATCTGCAGTGGGCTATGAATGCACCACTGCATCCAGCCTGGGCAACAGAGCAAGACCCTATCTTAAATAAATAAATAAACAAAACATGGCGGTTGAGCACTGTTCATTTTCTATCACAGTGGATTTTGTTGCCTTTTAAAGGAAGGAAATACCCAAACATAAGAAAGAATTTAATCTATCCTATTAATATTCAATTCAGTACATTATACACCTTATACAGATGTACTATAAAGATGGGCAAGACCTACCCTGCGTTCAAAAGTATGAAAGTAGCATAAAAAATTGTAATAGCTTAAATATCTGCTGAGGATTCAAAAGAGGGAGAAATGAGATGCCACTGGAACGATGAAAAGCATTCGGACACAAAACAGAGCAGTGGCACGCCTCAGGGAAGCTACACCTGAGGAAAGGCAGGGAGGTCAAAAGTGCAGTTAAAGAGACAGGACACAGGCAGCAGAGTTGGAGGCAGTAAAAAAGGAACAAGGTTATTTAATAAAATGAATACAATAAAACTAATATTTAATTAGTGTCAGATTGGGCTAAAATGTTTTGATGTGCTTTCTCCTTTAATCCTTTCTCCTCACAAGGATCCAACAGATAGGTATTGTTACTACTCTCATTTGCCATGGGTATAAAATGAGGCATAGGAAAGTTAATAATTGGTGGAGCCAGGATTTGAATCCAAGCAGCCTGACGCCTCCAGCTTTTTGAACCTGAGGCTTTGCTATCTCCTACAATGCTATACAGAGATATGAATCAAAGAAGAATTCTGATGAGGGAATGACATCTGCAATGGTAGCAGGATACAGGATGGACTAAAAAAGACAATAATAAGGAAACAAAGTTAAGAGATCATGATGATTCCAGAAGTGACGTACTGCAGGCCTGAATTACCTGTGTGTAAAATGTTGACTCAGAAGAGGTCAGAGGCCTCAGGGATATCACTGGCTCTGCTGCCATTCCACCATGTAGTCCCAGACAAGCCAATTTGCTTCTCTAGGCCTCTCGTTCGCTGTGGAAAATCCTCAAAGATACTTGTTTCTACCTAGTTCTCTACTTTTAATTAAATCTCAGGAGTTATTGAATAAACAACTACTAAACATCATAAATAGATATGGCTTTCTATACCGTTATATTGGCTCCAGTCAGGCTGTTGATGCGATGCATATGTTTACAAAATTCTGGACCATGCCCTTCTCGGTCTTTGTCGTTATTAGTGACAAATAAATAGGCATGTATCATTTCATGCAGGAGGGTCTGGAACATAAAATATTCAAATTAGTTTTAGAGTCTGTATGACACTTTGGAAAATATAAATTTTCTTATTCTATCTGGTGTCTAACCTTTTCTGTATCACAGGCTTCCTTCAGAACTGATAAAACTCATTCTAGGCCGGGTGCAGTGGCTCACACCTGTAATCCCAACACTTTGGGAGGCAAAGGTGGGAGGGTCACTTGAGCCCAGGGGTTGGAGACCAACCTGGGCAACATGGCGAAACCCTGTCTCTACAAAAAAATACAAAAATTAGCCAGGTGTGGTGGTGCATGCCTGTAATCCCAGCTACACTCAGGAGGCTGAGGTGGGAGGATCCTCTGAGCCTGGGGAGGTTGACGCTGCAGTGAGCTGTGATTGTGCCACTGCACTCCAGCCTGGGGGACAGAATGAGACACTGTCTCACAAAAACAAAACAACAACAACAAAAAACCCACCTCATTCTATAAAAATTATATAAGCACTCATTCACAAAATATTGCATATGAGTTGAGCATCCCAACTCTGAAAATCCAAAATGCTCCAAAATCAGAAACTCTTGAGCAATGACATGACACTCAAAAGGAAATGCTCATTGGAGCATTGCGGATTTTCAGATTTGGGATGCTCCACCTGTAAGAATAACACAAATATTCCAAAATCCAAATAAATCTGAAATCCAAGACACTTCTAGTCCCAGGCATTTCAGAGAAGGGGTACTCAAATTTGTGTAACATCTAAAGCTCTGAAAATCACAGGTTAAGAACTCCCTGTTCTAGGAAGACCTTTTTGACTATATATCAAAATCCAGAAAAATCAATGAATTCAACTACATAAAAACTTTAAAATTCTTTTTTTTTTGAGACAGGGTCTTACTCTGTTGCCCAGGCTGGAGTGCAGTGGCTCAATCTCTCCTCACTGCAAGCTCTGCCTCCTCGGTCCAAGTGATTCTCGTGCCTCAGCCTCCTGAGTAGCTGGCACTACAGGTGTGCACCACCATGCCTGGCTAATTTTTGTATTTTAGTAGAGATGGGGTTTGGCCATATTGGCAAGGATGGTCTTAAACTCCTGACCTCAAGCAATCTGCCCGCCTCAGCCTCCCAAAGTGCTGGGATTATAGGCGTCAGCCACTGCACCCAGACAAAACTTTAAAATTCTATAGGAAAAAAACACCAAGTAAAAAGACAAACTCAGAAAAATATATGTATAACTCTTATCACAGGCTATTCCTAATATACAAGGAGCTCCTAATGTCAACAGGGAATGACAACCCAATTTCAAAATGGGCAAAGACCATGGAGTTCACAGAAGAAGTATAAATGACCCAC
The DNA here is from genome assembly GCF_000001405.40 of Homo sapiens. Taxonomy (NCBI): domain Eukaryota; kingdom Metazoa; phylum Chordata; class Mammalia; order Primates; family Hominidae; genus Homo; species Homo sapiens. The sequence continues at coordinate 231,346,474 of NC_000001.11, read as the reverse complement.
AAACAAATGAAAAAACGCCCAACTTCCGGATCACGAGGTCAGGACATTGAGACCATCCTGCTCAACATGGTGAAACCCTGTCTCTACTAAAATACAAAAAAAAAAAAAAAAAATTTTGGCTGGGCATAGTTGCGCCCGCCTGTAGTCCGAGCAGTATACTCAGGAGGCTGAGGCAGGGGAATTGCTTGAACCTGGGAGGCAGAGGTTGCAGTGAGCCGAGAATGCACCACTGCACTCCAGCCTGATGACAGACCAAGACTCCATCTCAAAAAAAAAAAAAAAAAAAAAAAAGAAAAGAAAAGAAAAAATGCCCAACTTTATTTATAAAAAGAGAAATGCGAATTAATACTACACTAGGATGGTCAGGCGTGGTGGCTCATGTCTGTAATCCCAGCACTTTGGGAGGCTGAGGTGGGAGGATTGCTCGAGGCCAGGAGTTCAAAACCAGCCTGGTCAACATAGTGAGACCTTGTCTCTACAAAAAAATAAAAATAAAAATAAAACAATTAGCTTGTGCATCTGTAGTCCTAGCTACTCAGGAGGCGGAGATGGGAGGATCACTTGAGGCCATGAATTCAAGGTTGCAGTGAGCTATGATTACCTCCAGCCTGGACAACCCAGCAAGACCCTGTCTCAAAAAACAAAAAACCCCCACAAAAACCCAACACTACACTAGGATGTTATTTATTGCTTATCAAGATTGGTAAAACTCCTAAAGTTTGACACCATTAGTAAAGCTAAGGGAAAATAAACATTCCTATATACTGCTGGTGGGAGTGCAATTCTCCTATGGAAAATTTGGTAGCATCTAACAAAATTACAAATGCATTTGTCTTCTGAGAGAGCAATACCTAGACTAGCATGCAAGGTCATATGCACAAGGTGTATTCACTGTGACACTGCTTATAACAGCAAAAGATTAGAAATAACTCCAGTGTTTTATACATCCATATAATGGAATTCTATGCAGCCACAAAAAAGAATGAGAAGGATCTACATGAAATGGTTTGGAGAAAGCTATAGAGCGTATTAATGAAAAAGACAGGGGGCTGGGCACAGTGGCTCATGCCTGTAATCCCCGCACTTTGGGAGGCCGAGGCAGGTGGATCACCTGAGGTCAGGAGTTCAAGACCAGCCTGGCCCACATGGTAAAACCCCGTCTCTACTAAACACACAAAAATTAGCCAGGCATGGTGGCGGGCGCCTGTAATCCCAGCTACTCGGGAGGCTGAGGCAGAGGCAGGAGAATCACCTGAACCTGGGAGGCAGAGGTTGCAGTGAGCCGAGATCATGCCATTGCACTCCAGCCTGGGCAACAAAAAAAAAAGAAAGAAACAAAGAAAGAAAGAAAGAAAAGAAAAGAAAAGAAAAAGAAAAAGACAAAGTACAGAAGAATGTACATAGTATTTTGTGTAAGAAAAATTTTGTATGGTGGGGAGGAGGAATAAAAATGAATAGAAATATTTGCAAAACAGAAAAATGAAAAGAAACTAACAGCTCCTACAGCAAGTAAGGAGTTCAAGATAGAGGAGGACACTGAACAAGACATCTTTGTGTATAGCTTTCTACAGCTTTTGGGTTTTGATTCAGAAATCATGAAAACTTGAAACAAACACTAAAACCTACTGCTCATTCCACACCAAAGATGCACAAGTTTCTGTGCAAAATTAACAAAAGCATTTAAGATTGCTGGGGTTTTTGCTCTAAAAAATATAAATAATTTTTTTAAGCAAAAATCAGAAAGATCTTCAAAGACATACCTTTTTCATGATCCTCCATAATTTTTTTAAAAAACAATTTCCATCAGAAGAACTAGACTGTCATTAATGAATTTTAGTCTTATAAAATTATGCTGAACAGAAAAATGAGAGAATCAAACATTTTAACTTGGTCATTCATATATCCCTCTAAAAATTATCAACTGTATCTCTTAAAAGGAACTTTATTTATTTATCTTATTATTTCTCAGAGATGGGGTCTCACTTTTTCACCCAGACTGGAGTGCAGTGGCATGATTATATTTCACTGCAGCCTCAAATTCCTGGCATCAAGGGATCCCTCTATCTCATCCTCCTGAGCAGCTGGGATTACAGGCGCATGTCACCACACCTGGCTAATTTTTTTTCAATTTTTTGTAGAGACAAGGTCTCACCATCTTACCCAGACAGGTCAACTCCTGGGCTCAAGCAATCCATCTATCTGATTACGTGCATGAGCCACTGTACCCAGCCAGAACTTTATTTTTCAAGTAAATGCCGCTCAACGAAGAAGACTCAAATTCAAGAAAGGTACTGCAAAAGTTTCTCAATGTTCTAAATTAGAGCAATGATAAAGATCTATTCTCATAAAGGAGAAACAAATTTAGGTTCCTGATTTTTGGTTCAATTTAATTAAACATTAAAAAACATCTTGAAAATGGTACTGAACTTTTTAAATATCTATCATTTTCCATATTTAGTCTTAATTCAAGGATCTATACACAACACAGTCCCAAAATACCTCTGTTTTCCATGACTGTTCTATCGGGTTAAAATGAACTACCTCTAGTCCTAAATATGCCCCCAGTTGTCTGAACTCACTTTTGTTCACATTATTCCCATGCTTTCTGCCAAGAGTAGCCTCCTGTCCTATCTCTGCTTGTCAAAAGTACAATTCGTCCTTTAATGCTCACCTCTCCATGTTTTAATCGCAGGAGTGATGAGTTGAATGGTAAAGGGGACAGAACAAGAGCCTTAGAGTCAGGGAAACTGGAACCTAAACCCACAATCACAGCATGAGACCTGGGACAGGCTCCAAGTGGCTCCTCATCCCTAAAATGGGATATCCTCATTTTGCATGGCTGTGGTAAAGACGACGTTTAGTCCAAAGTCTGACACACAATAGGTGCTCAATAGTGAGCAGCAGGAGTGGTGATGGTAGTAACAAAATGTACAGTTATAAAGCTTTTCTTGACCTCCTCAACCAGATAAAGTCTGTTCCTTTTCTGAACCCCCTTCTCTATGATTTAGGTAACTACAGTTGTGCCTCACTTGGCAGGGATATGTTCTGAAAAATCCATTGTTAGGCAATTTTGTCATTGTGCAAACATCTTAAGAGTGTACTTACACAAACCTAAATGGTATAGCCTATGTAATATATATATATATATACACACACCTAGGCTATAGAGTATATATACCTAGGCTATAGAGTATATATACCTAGGCTATAGGGTATATATACCTAGGCTATAGAGTATATATACCTAGGCTATAGAGTGTATATACCTAGGCTATAGAGTATATATACCTAGGCTATAGAGTATAGCCTGCCGCTCCTAGGCAACGAACCTGCACAGGATGTTACTGTACTGAATGCTGTAGGCAAGTGCAACATAATGGTAAGTATTTGTGCAACTAAATATAAAGAAGAAAAAAGGTACAATAAAAATATAGTCTTGGCCAGGTGTGGTGGCTCACGCCTGTAATCCCAGCACTTTGGGAGGCTGAGTCGGGCGGATCACGAGGTCAGGAGATTGAGACCATCCTGGCTAACATGATGAAACCCCGTCTCTAGTAAAAAAAATACAAAAAATTGGCCTGGCATGGTGGCGGGTGCCTGTAGTCCCAGCTATGTGGGAGGCTGACGCAGGAGAATGGCCTGAACCCGGGAGGCGGAGCTTGCAGTGAGTGGAGATGCGCCACTGTACTCCAGCCTGGGCAACAGAGCGAGACTCCATCTCAAAAAAAAAATAAATAAATATAGTCCTGGCCGGGCATGGTGGCTCATACCTGTAATCCCATTCACTTTGGGAGGCTGAGGCAGAAGGATCACCTGGGGTCAGGAGTTTGAGACCAGCCAACATGGTGAAACCCCGCCTCTACTAAAAATACAAAAATCAGCCAGGCGTGGTGGCGCACACCTTTAATCGCAGCTACTTGGGAGGCTGAGGTAGGAGGATCCCTTGAACCAGGGAGGCGGAGGCTGCAGTGAGCCGAGATCATATCATTGCACTCCAGCCTGGGCAACAAGAGCAAAACTCCATCTCAAAAAACAAAAAATAAAAATAAATAAATAAATAAAAATATGGTCTTATAATCTTATGGGACCACTGTTATATATGGGGCCTGTCATTGACGAAAATGTCATTTTGTAACTTTCTGCCAACAGGAAATGCTCACTTGATACTATTATACATTCCCCATTCTCTTCTCACCCACTACTTAAAAACATTTTTTTCTCATGTGTTTATGTAATCATTTACCCAATACATATTCATTAAGCAACTCTTCCAGTTAGGGCTCCTTCTAAGGCTGATTTGGTTAATCATGCTGTTCAACTTTTTAAAATGTGTATTATTTTTTTCCGCTTATTCATTGGGTTACTAAGAAGGTTGTGTTAACATTCTTCAAGTATGAGTCTGGGTGTCTTGGCTGACACCTGTAATCCCAGCACTTTGGGAGGCTGAGGCGGGAGGATTGCTTGGGCCTGGGAGGTTGAGGCTGTAGTGAGACAGGGTCTTGCTCTGTCACCCCAGGCTGTAGTGCTGTGGTGTGATCTCGGCTCACTGTAACCTCCACCTCCCGAGTTCATGCGATTCTTGTGCGTCAGCCTCCTGAGTAGCTGGTACTACAGGCTGTGTCACCACACGCAGCTAATTTTTGTATTTTTAGTAGAGACGGGGTTTCACCATGTTGGTCAGGCTGGTCTCAAACTCCTGGCCTCAAGTGATCCGCCTGTCTCAGCTTCCCAAAGTGCTGGGATTATGGGCGTGAGCCACCGCACCCAGCCTGATTGTATATTCTTTTTGCTTCTGCTAATTTATGCCTCATAAAATTTAAAGTTATGTTATTACTTTTGGAGAGATTATGTATTGTTGCTTAATAGATTATTTTATTATTATAAAATATCCCACTTTTCCTCTAGTAAAACTTCTTCCCTTGAAGTCTTTAGTCTGATACTAATACTGGTTGAACATCCCTAATTTGACAATCCAAAATCTGAAATGCTCCAAAATCTAAAACTTTTTGAGCACTTACAAGATGATTAAAGGTTAAGTTCTAAGGAAATGCTCACTAAAGCCATTTCAGATTTGGGACTTTTGGATTAGGGAAGCTCAACCAGTAAGTATAATGCAAATATTCCAAAGTAAAAAAAAAAAAAATCTGAAACACTTCTGGTCCCACTTTGGATAATGAGTACTCAACCTTATAGCCACAATAGTTTTCTGCTTTTAAGTGTTTGGATGATTACTTTTCCTCATCCTTTTAAACTTAAAATAAGTGTGTCTTTACTGTAAGCATGTCTCTTTTAATCTAGCATGCCATTCCATGTATTTAATGGAGTGTTTAGTCCACTTACATTTAACTGATATTTTGTTTACACCTACCTTTCTCTTTATCATCTGAGCTCTGTTCTTTTTCATTAATCAAGTATTTCTACTGTACCACTTTACATTTAGTAGCTACTTTTTAAACAAACTGTGGTAAAAAAAATTAACAAAATTCCCCAACTTACCCATTTTTATGTGTACAGTTCAGTGTTGAGTATATTCACACTGTTATGTAATCCATTGCCTTTTATTATCCTTAAAAACAGCATCTCTCATCTCCAAGCATGTTTTAACATGCTTCCCACCCCATGCTCAGAAACTACCACTGTGCTCTTTTGTACAGATAATTCTTTCTTTTTTTTTTTGAGACAGAGTTTCGCTCTTGTTGCCCAGGCTGGAATGCAATGGTACGGTCTCGGCTCACTGCAACCTCCGCCTCCCGGGTTCAAGAGATCCTCCTGCCTCAGCTCCCACTGCTCCATTCTGCTAGCAGAAGTAAGTACCAGCTCTAAATGTGAAGCGTGCCCTCACACTGGTTTGTGCTGCCAGCTCAGCTAGGTGTCCTGAGAGCACAGCAGTGTTGCAGCCCAACTGAGGAGAATCAAAATTTGTGTTTCTCAACAGGAACATGTGGATCCTGTTTTCTCTGTTTCTAAATAAGTAACTTAAGCCAGTTACTTAACCTCTCTGAACCTTAATTTCTTTACTCATAAAAATGAAAACAGCAACACATGAACATAAACAGGGCTGTTGTAAAATCAAAACAGATAATATACCTAGAAGGCTTTTATTTTTTTGAGACAGAGTCTTGCTCTGTCACCCAGGCTGGAGTGCAGTGGCGCGATCTCGGCTCATTGCAAGCTCCGCCTCCTCAGTTCATGCCATTCTCCTGCCTCAGCCTCCCGAGTAGCTGGGACTACAGGCGCCGGCCACCACGCCCGGCTAATTTTCTGTATTTTTTTTTTTGTAGAGACGGGGTTTCACCGTGTTGGCTAGGATGTTTTTGATCTTCTGACCTCGTGATCCGCCCGCCTCGGCCTCCCAAAGTGTCGGGATTACAGGCGTGAGCCAGCGTGCCCGGCCCCTAGAAGCCTTTTTTTTGTTTTTTTTTTTTTTACTATGAAGCACTATAAAAAACATAAGGTGTTCATTATTGTTTGCCCCATAATTCAAGCTTTCACTGAGGGCAAAGTGACTTTTTTTAACGATACATACAGGCGAATTCACAGCAGTCTAAATCATTGACAAGTATTTGTAAATTACTGCGCTAGGAAGCAAGTTTACACGAAAAATACCTCTACAAGATCCTTTCTTGGCCTCAACTTCAAAAGGGGTTCGCTGAGACGGATGGAACACATTCCACCCTTCCCTTCATAGCTGCATATCCCAGCACACCTAGAAAACAATCACCATAAAAATGTGTTACATTGGCCAAATATGCCCAAGTCCTTACACATTCTTGGGCAGTTCACACTAACTCAGTTGGCAGATGGCTTTCATGAAAGTATACCCCCCTTGGTTAGCAGATACTTGCATTTCACCTAATTAATTAGTTACAACCCCCGCGGGCGCCTCCCGCGATGGCTCCGATCCCCGCCGGGCAAGGAAGGAAAGCAGCGTGCTCTCACCACCCTGCTTGAGAAGGTGGAAGGCTGCAGGCACCTGCTAGAGACGCCAGGACCGTACCTGGTGTACAACGGGGACCTAGTGGAATACGATGCGGACCACATGGCCCAACTGCAGCTCCCCTTGCCCTAGCTAGGCTGCAACAGCTCAAAGGCAATCCTATTCTGCTACTCCCAGTCTCCTTCCGACAAGTTACAGTTCGGTGTTATTAACAAGCAGATATCTCCAGTAGCATATCTCCAAAATCATAACAGACGCCTGTATAAAGGAAATTGGTACTTTAAACACAATTTAATATCATATCTTAATTTGTTTGACAGTAGGTTGTTTTCTATCAACTCAAAAACAAGCATGCTGGGATACAACTGTATCTTAAACTTAACCCTGTTCACGTGCAGGAGTAGATTATTATTTCAAATAGGGATTTCTGAAATTTAGCGTGTAGAAAAAGAATCGTTTTAAAAGCATCACTGAAGATCCCCAATGCAACACACGAGCTAACTAAAGTGGGTTTCCTAACGGGAATAGAGGAGGAGAACACACATCCTTTGGCAGTTACTCTGCGTCCTCAGCACTTTCTTAGGTGCAGATTTGGTTGCTTCTCCCTTCTGGGTCCTACAGCACTATCATAAGGCAAATCAGGAACTTGTTATTTTCAAGTGAAGTGAGATTCAAATAAAAATCTCTTTTTTGTTACGGCCCTGAGTCCAACCGTGGCGGTGTGGTCTACACAGCTTTCTTATTGTTCGAGTGGGAGAAAAGGTAAGGAAGACAGAAACACGCCGAGGCAGGAATTGCCAGGTCCAAAACCAGACTCCCCTCATTTAACGCCCCCTGGGACCGTCGGACTAGAGAAAGGAGAGAAAACCAGGGCCGGGGGCTGCAGGAAAGCTGCCAGTCCCGCCTCTTTCCCCAGCGGGGCTCGGAACTCACAGGGTCATTCGCACGCTCCACTTCACCTCGACGGCCTCCAGCTGGCCCCAGAAGAATTGGTCGTTAAACTGAACAAACAGTGCCTGCAAGTCCGGTGTGGGGTCCACCAACTCCCACGACGCGTCCACTAGCGACAGGGACTCCTGGGCATGATCGCGCTCCGCCTCCTGCAAGTTCCACTCCTCCTGAAGCCGCAGTGCCAACATCAAGTCATCATCCATCGTTGCCAGGATCACAGGCGGGGTCCGCCGGCGTCAGGCTGGCTCCCCAGTTACGCCGCGACCCCAAGCCGCCTAGCCGAGGACCAGGACTAGCTCCTAGGAGATGCCGGCTCTCGAGACGGCCCGTCAATCCCGCGAGAGTTCGCGGAAACGCGCTTGAGAACGAGAACGGAGCTTACCCCAAACGCCGAAGCCAAGATTCTAGGGCTTTAAAAAAAGCAGTCAGCATGACACCTCCTAGTGGGCGCAGAACCTGGGCTCACAGGGCTCGGGCCCTACGAAGCTTTCAGGAAGCTAGTTTCAGCCTTTACTCTTTGCCGGTTATTTCAAACCTCAACGTCACGCTCGGTTCATGCGCAGTACCGAAATTTCTCTCGGCCTCTCCCTCCCCTCACTTCCGCAATAGCTCATCTTGCGCATGCGCTTTAACCGATGGCATTGCTGCGCAGGCGCAATGTCTGCGCTCGGCCCACTTGCGCAGGCGCAGTGTCTGACGCTCAGACCCGGCGCAGGCGTACTCGTCTCGTTCCCATTCCTGCTTCCTCAGCCCAGGAGCTCGGTTGGCCTTGGGTGGGTCTAGACAGCCGCGGCGGCTGCGGCGCCGATAGTGACAGTGAGTGCGTGAGACCCGGAGAGAAATGGCGATGGCGATGTCGGACAGTGGGGCGAGCCGCCTGCGTCGGCAGCTGGAGTCAGGGGGTTTTGAGGCGCGGCTGTACGTGAAGCAGCTCTCGCAGCAGTCGGATGGGGACCGGGACCTCCAGGAGCACCGGCAGCGCATCCAGGCGCTGGCGGAGGAGACGGCGCAGAACCTGAAGCGCAACGTCTACCAGAACTACCGGCAGTTCATAGAGACGGCCCGCGAGATCTCCTACCTGGAGAGCGAGATGTACCAGCTCAGCCATTTGCTGACCGAGCAGAAAAGCAGCCTGGAGAGCATCCCGCTTACGTTGCTGCCTGCCGCTGCTGCCGCCGGAGCCGCCGCCGCCTCTGGAGGGGAGGAGGGAGTCGGTGGGGCGGGGGGCCGAGACCACCTCCGAGGCCAGGCCGGCTTTTTCTCCACCCCCGGGGGTGCCTCCCGCGACGGCTCCGGTCCAGGCGAGGAAGGAAAGCAGCGCACTCTCACCACCCTGCTTGAGAAGGTGGAAGGCTGCAGGCATCTGCTGGAGACGCCGGGACAGTACTTGGTGTACAATGGGGACCTAGTGGAATACGATGCGGACCACATGGCCCAACTGCAGCGGGTGCACGGCTTTCTCATGAACGATTGCTTGTTGGTGGCTACCTGGCTGCCTCAGCGGCGTGGGATGTATCGCTACAACGCTCTCTATTCCCTAGATGGTTTGGCCGTAGTCAATGTCAAGGACAACCCGCCCATGAAGGACATGTTCAAGCTGCTTATGTTCCCCGAGAGCCGTATTTTCCAGGCCGAAAATGCTAAAATCAAACGAGAGTGGCTGGAAGTGCTGGAGGACACCAAGAGGGCCCTCAGTGAGAAAAGGCGAAGGGAGCAGGAGGAGGCAGCGGCCCCTCGAGGGCCACCCCAAGTGACTTCCAAGGCCACTAACCCATTTGAGGATGACGAAGAAGAAGAACCAGCTGTTCCTGAGGTAGAGGAAGAGAAGGTGGACCTCTCCATGGAATGGATCCAGGAGTTACCTGAAGACCTGGATGTCTGCATTGCGCAGAGAGACTTTGAAGGGGCGGTTGACCTGCTGGATAAATTGAACCATTACCTGGAAGATAAACCTAGCCCACCTCCTGTAAAAGAACTAAGGGCCAAAGTGGAGGAGCGAGTTCGACAGCTCACTGAGGTGCTAGTTTTCGAACTCTCCCCAGATCGTTCCCTGAGAGGTGGTCCGAAGGCTACTCGCAGAGCAGTTTCGCAACTGATCCGGCTGGGCCAGTGCACGAAGGCCTGTGAGCTATTTTTGAGAAACAGGGCAGCCGCTGTTCATACTGCAATTCGTCAGCTTCGCATCGAAGGTGCCACTTTACTCTATATTCATAAGCTGTGCCATGTCTTCTTTACCAGCCTTCTCGAGACTGCAAGAGAATTTGAGATCGATTTTGCAGGCACTGACAGCGGCTGCTACTCTGCCTTTGTGGTCTGGGCAAGATCAGCCATGGGCATGTTCGTGGATGCTTTTAGCAAGCAGGTGTTTGATAGTAAGGAGAGCCTCTCTACAGCAGCTGAGTGTGTAAAAGTGGCTAAGGAGCATTGCCAGCAACTGGGTGATATCGGACTGGATCTCACCTTCATCATCCATGCCCTTCTGGTGAAAGACATCCAAGGGGCCTTGCACAGTTACAAAGAAATCATCATTGAAGCCACTAAACATCGCAACTCTGAAGAGATGTGGAGGAGGATGAACTTGATGACGCCAGAAGCCCTGGGTAAGCTCAAAGAAGAGATGAAAAGTTGTGGGGTAAGTAACTTTGAGCAGTACACAGGGGATGACTGCTGGGTGAACCTAAGTTACACAGTGGTTGCTTTCACCAAACAGACCATGGGCTTCTTGGAAGAGGCCCTGAAGCTGTATTTCCCAGAGCTGCACATGGTACTTTTGGAGAGCCTGGTGGAAATCATTTTGGTTGCTGTTCAGCATGTGGATTATAGTCTTCGATGTGAGCAGGATCCAGAGAAGAAAGCTTTTATCAGACAGAATGCATCCTTTTTATATGAAACAGTCCTCCCTGTGGTGGAGAAAAGGTTTGAAGAAGGTGTGGGGAAACCTGCCAAGCAA